>NW_025791812.1:0-177865 GCF_000001405.40 Homo sapiens
AATTAATATTAATCTTACGCAACATGAAGGAGACTGTCATTTTTGTAAGGTAAACATTTGGGGATTTACCCCAAAACATGTCATCTTTAAAATACAGTCATATGCATTGCTTAATGACAGGGATATATTCTGAGAAATGCAACATTAGGCAATTTTGTTGTGCAAACATAGCATAGCCTACTAAACCTAGGCTATATGGTATGCTTATTGTTTCTAGGCTACAAACCTGTGGAGCATGTTACTATACTAAATACTGTTGGTAAATGTAACACAATAGTAATTATTTGTGTATCTAAACACAGAAAACATATAGTAAAAATAAAGTATGTGTGGTCCATCACTGACTGAAACATTCTGCAGCACACGACTGTAGTAAGCACGGCTCTTTATATTAGTAGATATCTCAATTTACAATGCCACAAAAAGGTGACATTTGGGAATTCAACAATTTTCTGCATTAGACTTCAGACATCTCCAAGCTAGAATCACTTCATGACTTCACTGCTGAAATACAATAGCTGAAGTTTAAGGATTAAGAATTACGGATAGGCCGGTGCGGTGGCTCACGTCTGTAATCCTAGCACTTTGGGAGGCCGAGATGGGTGGATCACCTGAGGTCAGGAGTTTGAGAGCAGCCTGGCCAATGTGGCGAAACCCCGTCTCTACTAAAAAATACAAAAATTAGCCAGGTGTGGTGGCGCACGCCTGTAATCCCAGCTACTTGGGAGGCTGAGGAAGGAGAATCACTTGAACCTAGGAGGTGGGGGTTGCAGTGAGCCGAGATCACGCCACTGCACTCCAGCCTGCGCAACGGGAGTGAGACTCCATCTCAAAAAAAAAAACAAGAATTACAGATAAAGGCCAGGCACAGTGGCTCATGCTCGTAACCCCAGCACTTTGGGAGGCTGAGGCAGAGGATTGCTTGAGCTCAGGAGTTCAAGATCAGCCTAGGAAACATAGTGAGACCCCCGTCTGTACAAAAAAGGAAAAAATTAGCCGGGTATGTGGCACGTCTGTAGTTAGAGCTACCTGGGGAACTGAGATGGGAGGATCATTTGAGTCCAGAAGGTTAAGGCTGCAGTGAGCTGTGACTGACCCACTGGACTCCAGCAAGGGTGAAAGAACGAGACTCTATCTCAAAAAAAAAAAAAAAAAGAATTACAGATGTAAATCTGATAGCACAACACAATAGTGTTCTTATACACTGTTCCACAGACTGTCTTTAAGACCAAACCCTAGAAGGATAAAAAGATTGATAAAAAGATTTCTTGCAATAATCTAAAAGGGGTGGGTAGAAATGGGTGGCCATCAATAAACCCAATGTTCCTACCCTGAAGGAATGAGAAGTCTTTTCTCAAAGCACTAAATGAGGCAGGTAAGCTTAAAGATGAATATTTTTACAAGCTTTGATTAATGAATTGCTTGGGAATAGGGTCTGGTCATGGTGGCTTACGCATGTAATTCCAGCACTTTGGGAAGCTGATGTGGGTGGACTGCTTGAGTTCAGGGGTTCGAGACTAGCTTGGGTAACACAGCAAAACCCTATCTCTACAAAATACAAAAAAATTAGCAGGACGTGGTGGTATGCGCCTGTAGTCCCAGCTACTCTGGAGGCTGAGATGGGAGAAGTGCCTGAGGCCCTTTTTTTGTCTCAAAAAAGAAAAAGAGAAAGAGTTGTTTGGGATTAGCATCCAAGTATTATAGAGCCTTTGGATACAGGCTACTAAATGAAAATTCTAGCAAGATGGTGAAAATATAAGTCCTAAAATTATTGTTTCGATTTTTTTAAAGACATTAAAGAATACACTGATTTTTATTTTACTTTTTAAAACAGGGTCTCACTCTGTTGCCCCAGGCTGGAGTGCAGTGGTACAATCAGGGCCACTGCAGTCTTGACTTCCCAGGAATGAGGGCCACTGCAGCCTCGACCTCCCAGGCTCAAGCAATCCCCCCACCTTAGCCTCTGGAGTAGCTGGGACTAAAGGCACATGCCACCACACCCAGCTAATTTTTGTAGAGATGGGGTTTCACCATATTGCCCAAGCTGGTCTCAAACTCCTGGGCTCAAGTGATCCACCTGCCTCAGCCTCCCAAAATGTCGGGATAACAGGTGTGAGCCACCATGCCCAGCCTATTTTATTTTGTGTAGAGATAGGGTCTCACTATGTTGCCCAGGCTGGTCTTGAACTTCTGGGCTCAAGTGATCCTCCTGCCTCAGCCTCCCAAAGTGCTGGGATTATAGGTGTGAGCCACTGTGCCTGGCCTGACTTTCTTTCCTTAAAAAAGTCAACTATTTTATTCCATGAGAATAAAATAGAATACAATTCTATTTGATAAAATCCTATTTCATAAAAATTCTATGAATTCTATGATATCAGAAACCATTTTTTGCATTTCTAAGGCCTACTTGCCAGGCCTTAGAAATACAAAAAATGTTTTCTGATCTCACAGAACTTCACATCTGGAGCTAAGAAGAGGAACAGATACTATCATTTATAATTGGTGAGATATACAAGCTATAAGAAGAACTGAAGATAAAGTGTTGTAGGAGAATATAGTGCAGTGAATAACTGATTTTGACTACAGTTTAGGGAAGGCCTCACAAAAGGAGACAAAATTTGTAAATCAATAAAAATGTAAGCAGGAGTTTGTCAGGTAGACTAGAGAGGGGTAGGGATTGGAGAAAGACTTCTTAGGAAGCATGAGATATATGAAAATGACTACTCCAAATACCTTTAAAAAATTGATTTTAAAAAAAGAGGAAAATAAACACTGGATAGAATAAACACAAAATTTCAGTTCATACATTTGTGCTTTCTAAAGCAAGCATTGGGCTGGGCTCGGTGGCTCATGCTTGTAATCCCAATGCTCTGGGAGGCTGCGGCAGAAAAATCACTTGAGGCCAGTTCAAGACCAGCTTGGGCAACATAGTCAGATACTATCTCCACAAAAAATTGAAAAATTAGCTGAGCACCGTGGTGCATGCCTATAGTCCCAGCTACTGGGGAGGCTGAAGCAGGAACATCACTTGAGCACAGAAGTTTGAGTTTACAGTGAGCTATAATTGCACCACTGCATTCCAGGCCTGGTCAAAAGAGCAAGACCCTGTTTCTTTCCATTTTTTTTTTTTTTTTGAGATGGAGTTACACTCTTGTGCAGGGTGGAGTGCAATGGCGTGATCTTGGCTCACTGCAACCTCTACCTCCTGGTTTCAAGAGATTCTCCTGCCTCAGCCTCCTGAGTAGCTGGGATTACAAGTGCACGTCACCATGCTCAGCTAATTTTATATTTTTAGTAGAGACGGGGTTTCACCATGCTGGCCAGGCTGGTCTTGGACCCCTGACCTAAGGTGATCTGCCCACCTCAGCCTCCCAAAGTGGTGGGATTACAGGTGTGAGCCACCGTGCGCCCGGCCAAGACCCTGTTTCTAAGGAAGAAAAAAAGAAAGAAAAAATAAATAAGTAGAGCAAACATTGAAGATGTCCTATTCAACTCTGCCTAACTAGAGATTTAGCTCTCAACTTTTCCTGGTGTTGGGGGTGAGGGGAAATATTCCAGGCAGAGGGAATGGCATGGATATACCACAAAACTGGGAACAAACTTGTCATATTCAAGAATCTGAAACAGGTGCATGCCTTGACCATAGTTTGACACAGTAAATGCTTATTCAATGACAGATGGTGTGACCTTGGGCAAGAGAGACCAAATCAGACCTAGGATGTCAGAAATGCTTTCTCAGGCTTTCAAAAATCAATCTGTTTTCAATTGAGACGCCATTCATTCTAATCTCCCTTACTTTCTTATTCTTCCCACAGCTCTCCAGTCATGCCACCCACGGATGTGGACCATTGTCCTTTACCCAGTCTATCCAGTTCTGAAGACACTTTTTTCAGGTACTACTCCTTCATATATAGGCACACATACAATCGACACTTTTCCAACTCTATGCCTTTGAACCCAGCAATTATTTCACTGGGTGGTGAGTCAGTGGTGCACCCTGGGAGTGGGTCCAGCGCCCTTGGCACATGAAAGCCTTTGAACATGAGGCCAGTGGTGCTACATGAAATACACTCCATCACAATTCTGTCTACACTGGGCTTATGCTCGTCTGGGTTTCTTTCTCTGTTTTTAGATAGAGTCTTGCTGTCACCCAGGCTGGAGTGCAGTGGTGTGATCTCCACTCACTGCGGCCTATGCCTCCTGGGTTTAAGCAATTCTCCTGCCTCAGCCTCCCGAGTAGCTAGATTACAGGCAGGCGCCACCACACCCAGCTAGTTTTTGTATTTTTTTAGTAGAGATGGGGTTTCGCCGTGTTGCCCAGGTTAGTCTCGAACTCCTGGCCTCAAGTGATCCGCCCGCCTTGGCCTCCCAAAGTGCTGGGATTATAGGCGTGAGCCGCCACGCCCAGCCTGGGTTTCTATATTAGAATAATCCTAGGCAAGACAACCTTCTGAGCCTTGCCATTATCACCTGGAAAGCAGTCTAATACTCATTGCCATGCCATGTTCACAGGGCTGTTGCGAGGATAAAATGCAAGAATGATGGGGAAAAAAATCAAGTAATTATAACTGACATTTGTTTTATTCAGAGCCAGACACTGATGCAAAGCATCAGGACGATGCTCTGACGGAGGAGGAAACGTAGGGCTGAGATCAGCTTCGTGTGCACATTGGCTTTGATCAAACTGCTGCACAGCGACCGGCAGCTCCACCCTGGTGAAGCAGAGGGTGGAGGTTAAACGGCTCAGACCCTGGGTCTGGCTCCATCTCTAACCGTGTGACCTTGGGCCTGTAGCTTAACCCGTCTAGGGCTCCGCTTCCTCTTGCGTGAAATGGGGATCACAGAAGGGGTTCAGACGGAACTGAGGGTCCATTTAAAGCTCTGGGCAGTGATGTCTTGGCATGCAGTTCATTTTCACTTTACCATTATATTTGTTCTTACTGATTTAAGGGCAGCACCATGACTTTTGTGGCGCTTGGCGGGGTAGAGGGAAGTGTGGTCAGGAAGCCTGGGGTCTGAGCGGCGCGGGACCTAGGCCGCTCCTTTCCTGAGCTTCAGTTTCCCGCCTCAAAATGATGGGTGGATTGGCTGAGCTACACCCACCTTTCCCGCCCCTCGGCGCTTGGCTGCGCAGCGACCCTCCTAGGTGGGGAAACTCCCACCACCCCATAGGCCGAGGAAGGGGCGGGGCAGGGGTGGGGCCTGGCGAGGGTAGGGTCCGGCCGCCCCACCTGCTGCCGCTCACCTCTAGGCTGTAGTTGCCTCGGATGGCAGTAAAGTCGTCCAGGGCTTCGGCCGCGCTCCCCTCGTCCAGGTTCAGCTCCTGGCACAGGGCCTGTAGCGCCTCCCCGGCTGCGGCGACCACCGCCGCCCCCTCAGCGTGGGGCTTGTCCTCGAACATCCCTTCAGGCCCCGCGGGCTGCGCGCCACGGCCCCCGACTTCTTTCTCCCTCCCAGGCGCGCTACCCACAACCACCTGCGCCAAAGCGCGCGAAAATCTGCAGCTGCGGGACGTGTTGTCATCCACCGTCTGCCTCCGCTTTTCTCCTCAAAAAAAGTCCGTTTTTCCTCCGGAGCTCCTAGCAGTCCCTCCCCGGAAATGTGATAAGAAGATGTACCTCAGATTCTGAAAGACCTGTCCTTGGCCCTTGGCTGGTCGCGGGGGGCCCAGCCGGCGGGACAGAAAAAGAGCGGAGGGATCCTCAGCCCGCGCGCAGAGCCTGCTGGGAGGTGTAGTCCATCTCTTGGGAGATGAAGCCCGCGGCCTCCCCCTGTCTTCCTGGTTAGGCTCTTGGGTTTTGGGGCAGGGCTGGGCTGCCTACTGCGAGGTGGCCTCGTGCAGCGTAGTGAGATGCCTCCTCTATCCACGGGCCCTGGGTTTGTCACTGTCCCTGGGCGCCAAACATAATCTGAGCTGTACCCCTTGAGTTAGGAGATGGAGGCTGGAAGAGAAAAAAGTAGCCCCTGGACGAAGAGGGGCCTCTTGGGACTCTCCCCAAAGTCCTAGTGCCCAGTGAGTGGTTCGCTAAATGACAGAGGGGAAGGATTGGTGACGGATATTAGAAGACGAATCCTCATCTCATGCTAGTCGCTAAAAGAGGCAGGCAGAGAAGACTGCAGTAAATGAGGCAGGAGAATAGGGTCTGGAGGCAGGGAACCTATGGCTGTTTCACGTGACTTCTTAGAACTAAATTGAAAGGAAAACCCCAACTTTCCACGCCTAAGTAACAAAAGAACCAGAGGCTGTTCCCTTGGACCTTTTCTGCATGGCAGATGGGAAATTGGCTGTCTGCAACAAATCACACTGAGCGCCTTCCAGTCTTTGTTTGCAACTTTGTAACTTCACTCCAGCCTCTGAACGGTTGCTGTCCACAACCAATCAGACTGATGGCGGGAGAGTCTTCCTTTGCATAGAAGTATAATTTTGTTAACTTCACCCTGGCCTCTGATTGGTTGCTTTCTGCAACCACTCAGACTGATTGTGGGCTACCACTTCAGTTACATCAAGAGAGCATAAAGTGGCCAATGGGAAACTTCTAGAGGGTATTTGGACCCCAGAAGATTCTGTGTCTGGGCCCTTGAGCTGCTGCGTGGGTTCGCTTCCCCACTATGGAGTGTACTTTTGTTTTCAATAAATCCCTGTCTTCGTTCTTTTGTTGTTCCATTATTTGCTTTGCCTGTAATCCCAGTACTTTGGGAGGCCGAGGCAGGTGGATCACTTGAGTCCAGGAGTTTGAGACCAGTCAGGCCAACAAGGCAAAACCCCGTCACTACTAAAAATATAAAAATTAGCTGGGCGTGTGGGTGCACTTGTGTAATCCTAACAACCTGGGCAACTGAGACATGAGAATAAAGAATCGCTTGAACCGAGGAGGCAGAGGCTGTAGTAAGCCAAGATTGCACCACTGCACTCCAGTCTGGGTAACAGAGTGAGACTCTGTCTCAAAAACAAACAACTGAGGACACATCTGTCAAACCCAGCCTCACCTGCATGCATTTAAAAAAACCAAAAATCAATATGCCCTTCCTTATATTGGTTTTATTTTTTCTTATTATCCCAGGACATGCCCATTTAACCCAAAATTGAGCTTTTCTGAATAGAAAATGAAGTATGGAAGGCCGGTTGCAGTGGCTCACACCTGTAATCCCAGCACTTTGGGAGGCTGAGGCAGGCGGGTCACCAGATCAGGAGATCGAGATCATCCTGGCCAACATGGTGAAACCCCGTCTCTACTAAAAATACAAAAATTAGCTGGGCATGGTGGCGGGCGCTTGTAATCCCAGCTACTTGGCAGGCTGAGGTAGAAGAATCGCTGGAACCTGGGAGGCGGAGGTTGCAGTAAGCCAAGATCGTGCCACTGCACTCCAGCCTGGTGACAGAGCGAGACTCCGTCTCAAAAAAAAAAAAAAAAAAAAGAAAAAAGAAAATGAAGTATGGGTAGTGAAATAGATTTACTCTGCCCTTCAGTTTTGAGCCAGATACACATGAAGGTTGTTTCTATTTTGATCCCATTGTGTGATAGCCTCTATGATTAGCCTCCCTGTTGTGGTTTAATATTTCAGAGTTCTCCCAAAGCATGTGGTTGGAACCTGATTATGACCTTTAGGGATTCCAAGACTAAAAAGATTATAGTGTGTACCCTTCCAAATGTAATTCAAAATATATGCAATTCTAAATCACAAAATAAGTGTAAGAAAGTACAAGAAAGTTCTAACTAATTTTCCCAAGATGTCTCATTTTGAAATTCTTAAATTTTTTTTTCTTTTTTTGTCCTCCAGCTTTGCTATGCCCTAAGCAGAAAATCAGTCTGCACTTGCCCCTCTCAGGACAAACTGCTTGTCTAACCTTCTATTAAAAAAAAAAAAAAAAAAAAAAAAAGCAGTTGATATTTGTGGGGGAGGGGCAAGACCTGACCTCACCATTCTTTTTTTTTTTTTTTGAGACAGAGTCTCACTCTGTCACCCAGGCTGGAGTGCAGTGGCAAGATCTCAGCTCACTGCAACCTCTCCCTCCTAGGTTCAAGCAATTCTCCTTCCTCAGCCCCCCAAGTACCTGGGACTACAGGCACACGCCACCATGCCCGGCTAACTTTTTTTTTTGCATTTTTAGTAGAGACGGGGTTTCGCCATGATGGCCAGGCTGGTCTTGAACTCCTGACCTCAGGTGATGCACCCGCCTCAGCCTCCCAAAATGCTGGGATTATAGGCGTGAGCCACCATGCCCAGCTGGACCTCACCATTCTTAATGTTCTTTTTCCTTGGAGGAAAAACTAAAGTGGTGATCTTTAAGCTGGTTCTGCACTGTGGAAGTAGTGCATTACAAAGATTAATAAAGCCTCTCTACCCACAGAAGGGGGAAAGGATTTGCATACAATCTTAGAAAAGCAAATGTAAATGGCTTTTAGATGTGAAAAGATGCCCAACTTTCTTTCTTTCTATTTATTTATTTATTTATTTATTGAGACGGAGTCTCACTCTTGTTGCCCAGGCTAGAGTGCAATGGAGAGATCTCGGCTCACTGCAACCTCTGCCTCCTGGGATCAAGCAATTCTCCTGCCTCAGCCTCCCGAGTAGCTGGGACTATAGGCGTGTGCCACAACGCCAGGGTAATTTTTGTACTTTTTAGTAGAGACGGGGTTTCACCATGTTGGCACAATGGTCTCAATCTCTTGACCTCGTGATCCCACCCGCCTCGGCCTCCCAAAGTGCTGGGATTACAGGCGTGAACCACTGTGCCCGGCCCCAACCTTTCTAATAGGAAAAATATATATACAAGTTTAAACCGGTATAAAACCATATTTTAATCTATTCAATTGTCAAAAATCCAAAAGTTTGAAAATGTTCTAGTGACTCCCCATTTCTTTCAGGGTTAAGCCAAGCTCCTTGTCCTGGCCTACAAGGCACTAAGGGTCTGGTGGTCCCCTGTCTAACTCTGCCTTCATTTGCTACTCTCTCCTTTCTCACCCTACCGTAGTCATACTTGTGATTCCTTTTGGCTACCTTTTTTTCCTTTAATTTTGAAAAATGCAAACTCAATTTTTTATGTAGTTGTTAACCCCAATGTTTAAAAAAAGTAAAGCATTTCATCCAAATTACTAACTAAAAGATAATAGCTAAGAATACCTGAACCAGATATCAAAGAATTGGGGGTAATGGGGGCCGGGCATGGTGGCTCATGCCTGTAATCCCAGCACTTTGGGAGGCTGAGGTGGACAGATCACTTGAGGCCAGGAGTTCGAGGCCAGCCTGGCCAAAATGGCAAAACCCCGTCTCTACTAAAAATACAAAAATTAGCTGGGCGTGATGATGCTCGCCTGTAGTCCCAGCTACTTGGGAGGCTGAGGCAGGAGGAGAATCACTTGAACCGGGGAGGCAGAGGCTGCAGTAAGCCGAGATTGCGCCACTGCACTCTAGCCTGGGCAACAGAGCGAGACTCTGTCTCAAAAAAAAAAAAAAAAATGCAATTAACCATTAGATACTTCCATTCTTCACCTGCCAGTTTTTCCATTTCCTTTCTTCTTTCCCATATCACCTCCAAGATGTCCCTCCATTGCCCTAGATAGCTCAGCTCTGGCTCTCTGTGTATATTCTTCAACCAAACAAGAGCCTGAGAATCAGATTGATGGTGACTATTTCTAATTAGTCCAAATTAGTCCAGTGTGCCTCTTGGGGGCCTCCCACAATTCCACATGCAGCTTATAAAAGTGGTTGCCCAACACAAACTAATCTCTTTTCCCAGAAAATTTCTGCTTGTAAGAAATTTTTCTCCATTTATGCTTAAAGCAGACAGTGGGTACTCAACAAATAATAGTTCCTATCCTAGAGCCATTTGAGGATCTGACATCGGTTATAGGAGAGGGAATTATGAAAATGGAAAAAAGGGAGAAGGAGTGGAAAACTTGGATATATTGGGATAAATTTACCATTACACCAATTCAGAAGTTTTTTTCTTGCTTGGAGGTTTTTTCTTTTTCTTTTTTTTCAGACGGAGTCTCGCACTGTTGCCCGGGCTGGAGTGTAGTGGTGTGATCTCGGCTCACTGCAACCTCCACCTCCTGGGTTCAAGTGATTCTTCTGCCTCAGCCTCCTGAGTAGGTGAGACTACAGGCACATGACACCATGCCCGGGTATTTGCATTTTTAGTAGAGACAGGGTTTCACTATGTTGGTCAGGTTGGTCTCAAACTCCTGACCTCATGATCTGCCTGCCTCAGCCTCTCAAAGTGCTGGGATTATAGGCATGAGCCACCGCACCCGGCCGCTTGGAGGTTTTTAAGGGAAAGGAAAAGGAAGAAGACAGGGCCAAAAAGGATTTCACAAAAATACATCATTAAATATGAAACTATAAGAATGGATTGTTGGCCAGGCATGGTAGCTCACGTCTGTAATCCCAGCACTTGGGAGGCCAAGGTGGGCAGATTACTTAAACTCAGGAGTTTGAGACTATCCTCGGCAACATGGCAAAACTCCATCTTTACCAAAAATACAAAAAATTAGCTGGGCATGGTGGCGCACACCTGTAGTCCCAGCTACTTGGGAGGCTCAGTGGGGAGGATCACTTAAGCCCAGGAGGCCGAGGTTGCAGTGAGCCATCATCGTGCCACTGCACTCCAGCCTGGGTGAATGAGTGAGACACTATCTCAAAAAAAAAAAAAAAGTTACTTTATTCTTAATATTGTTGGCAATTAAGCAGACATACTAACATTGTAACATTAACATTTATTTAGAATCTCTTTTGAAGCTGTCCTTGACCTGTTTCTCAAGACTGGAATTCTGCTGGGTGCCGTGGTGCATGCTTGTAATCCCAGCACTTTGGGAGGCTGACACAGGAGGATGACTTGAGGCCATGAGTTCAAGACTAGCTTGCCGCACAACATAGCAAGATTCTGTCTCTACAAAAATAAAAAAAAAATTAGCTTATTCATCTCTAGCTGTCAGTCCCTGGTGTGAGTCCAGTACAAGGGGGAGGAAGAGGAATTAACAATCACTAAATATGTACTCTGTGCTCAATCTGTGTAATACCTCTTACATACACTCTTTCATTTACTCCTTCCAACAAGCCTTTAGTTAGAAAACGCTATCTCCATTTTTTACATGAACCTGCAGATGAGAAATTAATTTTTTTTTAATGTTTCCAGAAAGTCAGCTATAATGCTGGCATTTGATCCCAGATGTGCACACTCCAAACTTCATAATATTTCCACTGTATTATTTTGCCTATTCCAAATATAGCTCTATTTGCAGAGCGAATAATTGTGCTGATATTTGGTGAGATAGCATGTGCAATAGAAAATCCAGTTTATTATTTAAATGGAGGCAGAAGATGTAGATATAGGCAAATCGTAACATCACCTATGTTAGCTCTTGTTTCTGTTTTGCCTTTCCCATTTGACAAAGAACTGTTTGTAGCAGTTAAGGGCTATTTTATTTTCTGAGATGGAGAGAACAGCATGAAGGGCATACCATTAGTAGGTACGGTTGTGTGTACCTGTAGTTCCAGCTACTTAGTAGGCTGAGGCAGGAAGCCAGGACTTTAAGGTTAGTGAGTTATGATCATGCCACTGCACTCGAACCTGGGTGACAGAGGGAGACCCTAACTCTAAAAGAAATAAAACAAACAAAAAAAAAGATGTGAACTTTTTTTTTTTTTTTTTGAGACAGAGTCTTACTCTGTCGCCCAGGCTGGAATGCAGTGGTGCGACCTTGGCTCATTGCAACCTCTGCCTCCTGGGTTCAAGCGATTCTCCTGCCTCAGCCTCCCAAGTACCTGGGATTACAGGTGCCTGACACCATGCCCGGCTAATTTTTGTATTTCAAGTAGAGACGGGGTTTCATCATGTTGGCCAGGCTGGTCTCGAACTCCTGACCTCAAGTGATCTGCCTGCCTTGGCGCCAAAGTGCTGGGATTATAGGCATGAGGCACCATGCCCGGCCAAAAACTCTATAGATTTTTAAATTATATCTGCAATTTTAAACTAAGAACTGCCCTCCTCTATATCTTAAGGTTTTGAAAGCAAAAGACATGTTGGAGGTAATTAAATGGGTAGAGGTGGCTTCATGCTGGCATTGTTTTAAGTCTGAAAAAAGTGGGGCTGGCATCAGTGGCCTCTGTGGCTTCTGAAAGGATTGGTTTTTACCTGATGTTGCTTGCCTTGTGTTTCTAGGCAGAGGACCTGCCCATGAGCTTCTGCAACCAGTTCACTCTCTGCTTAGGTTTTGGTTCGGCCCTCGCCATCTGGACTAGTAACAGAGTCTGGGAAGCGATGATGCACAGCGAGGGCTCAGGGTCACACAGCAGGTCTCTCAGATCTAGCGGTAGGCAAACACAGGTTGGAGGTAAAAGCCCCTGAGATCTGTGGAAATGAATGAAGGTCTAGATAGCAAAAAGCTTACATGCCCATAGCAGCTTAGATTACGGTCCAACTGTCTAAAAGTTTATATATCAGTGAATTGTTTCCAATTTTGATCTACAAAACCTACCGGTTTCTGAGTTGCCAAACATGTCACTCCTCTGCAATAATCACATTCCAAGTAGTCTTTCTAAAGTCGAATGATCTGGACCTCCCAAGCCATGTCTAATGTTAACATCTAAGTTCCCGTGTTGGTCCTAGAAGTAACTCTTACATCATTATCTTCTTTTAATTAAAAAAAAAAAACTTTTAGTTTTTAATATTTTCTTTCTTTTCTTTTTCTTTTTCTTTCTTTTTTTTTTTTTTTTGAGATGAAGTCTCCTTCTGTCGCCCAGGCTGGAGTGCAGTGATGCGATCTTGACTCACTGCAACCTCCGCGTCCCAGGTTCAAGTGATTGTCCTGCCTCAGCCTTCGGAGTAGCTGGGATTAAAGGTGCCCACCACCACGCACAGCTAATTTTTGTATTTTTAATAGAAATGGAGTGTCACCATGTTGGCCAGGCTGGTCTCCAACTCCTGACCTCAAGTGATCCACCCACCTTGGCCTCCCAAAGTGCTGGGATTACAGGTGTGAGTCACTGTGCCTAGCAGTTTTTATGTTTTCTTATTGCAAAAGAAATACATGTTCATTGTGCAGAACATTTAGACATTACATGTAAGCACAAGAAGAAAAGTCACCCATAATCCTAACATCTAGCGATAACTATTGTTATTTTCAATATATATCTTTCTGGTCTTCTTTCCATACATTTATATTTACATATATATGCTTTTATTTTTTGTCCAAATGGAACCATATGACCGAGGAATTGCAAATGCTGGTTTTATTTAATGATACCACATCATCATTTATCTGAGTCACTTAAAAATTATTCTAGGCCAGGCGCACTAGCTCATGCCTGTAGTTGCAGCACTTTGGGAAGACGAGGGAGGTGGATCATTTGAGCCTAGGAGTTCAAAACCAGCCTGGGCAACATGGCAAAACCCTATGCCTACAAAATATCAAAAAATAAAACATTAGCCAGGCGTGGTGGCTTATGCCTGTAGTCCCAGCTACTTGGGAGACTGAGGTGGGAGGATCCCTTCAGCCTAGGAGGTGGAGGTTGCAATGAACTGAGATCATGCCACTGCATTCCAGCCTGGGCAACAGAGTGAGATCCTGTTTCTAAATAAATAAATAAATAAATAAAATAAAAATTATTCTATAATATGTTTCTTGGCTATTCAGGTTGAGGATCCCGTATCCAAAATGTTTGGGAGCAGAAGTGTTTTGGAAATTAGACCATTTTGGATTTTGGAAGACTTGCATATACATAATGAGATATTTTGGGGATGGGACTGAAGTCTAAACACAAAATTCATTTATGTTTCATATACACCTTATACATATAGCCTGAAGGTAATTTTATACAATATTTTAAATAGTTTTGTGCATGAAACAAAGTTTTTTGACTGTGTGTGTGTGTGTGTGTGTGTGTGTGCACGTGTGTGCGCGTGTGCGTGTTTTAAACAGAGTCTCACTCTGTCACCCAGAGTGACAGATCTTGGCTCACTGCAACCTCCGTCTCCCGGGTTCAAGCGATTCTCCTGCCTCAGGCTCCTGAGTAGCTGGGATTACAGGTGCGCGCCACTACGCCTGGCTAATTTTTGTATTTTTAGTAGAGACAGGGCTTCACCATGTTGGCCAGGCTGGTCTTGAATTCCTGACCTCAGGTGATCCGCCTGCCTTGGCCTCCCAAAGTGCTAGGATTACAGGCGTGAGCCACCACAACTGGCTTGATTGTGTTTTGTCTTATGAGGTAGGTCAGGTATGGAATTTTCCCATTGTGGTGTCACGTTAACACTCAAGAAGTTTCGGGTTGGAGAACATTTCAGATTTTGGATTTTTTTGATTAGGGATGCTCAACCTGTATATAATTCTACAATATGAATATGCTATAATTTCTTTAATTATCTATTGTTTCCAATCTAGATTATTTCCCACTTTTGTTATTCTAAATAACAATAAATGGACATTCCTGTAACTATTTCTGCTTATTTTCATAGATTAAATTCCTAAACAAGAATTGATAAGTCAGGCTGGGCACGGTGGCTTACGCCTGTAATCCCAGGACTTTGGGAGGCTGAGGCGGGCAGATCACAAGGTCAGGAGTTCGAGACCAGCCTGACCAACATGGTGAAACCCCGCCTCTACTAAAAATACAAAAAATAGCCGGACATGGTGCCTGTAATCCCAGCTACTCAGGAGGCGGAGGCAGGAGAATTTCTTTTTCTTTTTCTTTTTTTTTTTTTTGAGACGAAGTCTCACTCTGTCACTCAGCCAGGCTGGAGTACAGTGGCGCAATCTCGGCTCACTGCAACCTCTGCCTCCCGGGTTCAAGCAATTCTCCTTGAATCACACCTGGCTAATTTTTGTATTTTTAATAGAGACGGGGTTGCACCGTATTGGTCAGGTTGGTCTCAAACTCCTGACCTCAGGTAATCCACCCACCTGGGCCTCCCAAACTGCTGGGATTACAGGCATGAGCCATTGTGCCCGGCCCAAAGTTTATTAATTGGTAATCTTTGCCATTTCGACAGAAAAACGCATACTGTCATCTCATCATGATTTATTTTGTAAACCTCTGATTACTAGTAATATCAAATATCTTTCATCTATTTATTGGCGATTTGTAATTATTCTATGAACCTCTTATTCATATTGTTTGCCAGTTTTCTTTTGAGGGTTTCTAATTTGATTTAAGGGTGTTAACCCTTTATCATGTTGCAAATATTTCCCTTCATATTATTGTTTGCATTTCACTTTTAACTATTTCTCTCTTTTTCAAAGTTGGTTTTTAAATTTTTATGTAGACAAATCTACCATTCTTTTATTTTATGGATATGCCTTTAGTATCATACTTAGAAAAGGTTCTCTTTTTTATTTTATTTTATTA
Organism: Homo sapiens; assembly: GCF_000001405.40. Classification (NCBI taxonomy): domain Eukaryota; kingdom Metazoa; phylum Chordata; class Mammalia; order Primates; family Hominidae; genus Homo; species Homo sapiens. The sequence continues at coordinate 15,346 of NW_025791812.1, forward strand.
ATTAATTTATTTTTTTGAGACAGAGTCTTGCTCTGTTGCTCAGGCTGGAGTGCAATGTCACGTTCTTGGCTCACTGCAACCTCTGCCTCCCAGGTTCAAGCAATTCTCGTGTCTCAGCCTCCTGAGTAGCTGGGATTACAGGTGTGTGCCAATATGCCCAGCTAATTTTTGTATTTTTAGTAGAGACGGGGTTTCGCCATGTTGGCCAGGCTGGTCTTGAACTCCTGGCCTCAGGTGATCTACCCTCTCAGCCTTCCAAAGTGCTGGGAGTACAGGCATGAGCCACTGTGCCGGGCCAGGTTCTCTTTTTTATGTATAATTCTCCAAGGTCTCAAAAACGCTCAAGACCTCTTCATAATTTGGAGCTTTATATTTATTAAGCAGTGTTTTGCCTTTAAATTCATCTTGTTTGCTTGCAAAATGTAACATTTCACTAGTTTGTAGTTTCCTTCACTTCCTGCATTGAGGTCTGTCTACATGTTTCACAGAACATTTATTTATTTATTTATTTATTTAGTTAGTTAGTTATTACTTTTTGAGATGAAGGCTCGCCCTGTCGCATCTCGGCTCACTGCAACCTCCGCCTCCCAGGTTCATGTGATTCTCCTGCTTCTGCCTCCCGAGTAGCTGGGACTACAGGCATGCGCCATCACACCTGGCTAATTTTGTATTTTTAGTAGAGACGGGATTTCACCATGTTAGCCAGGCTGGTCTTGAACTTCTGACCTAAGGTGATCCACCTGCCTCGGCCTCCCAAAGTGCTGGGATTACAAGCGTGAGCCACGCACCCGGCCATGGTCCACAGAACATGAAATGTCAATCACATATGGTTCATTCTAATCTATATGCACATAATTATATATATTTTCTAGATTTTTCATATAGATAACTTTTGAATGGAAAAGGAAGTTTCATCCCCCATTTAGATTAGAAAATAATTTCTTTTTATTTGAACAGAATCAGCCATATAGAATCCTATCCCTTGGAATAATCCACATGGCTTCTTTCTTACTTTCTTTTCTTTTCTTCTTTCTTTCCTTCCTTCCTTCCTTTTCTTTCTTTTTTTTTTTGTTTTTTGATGGAGTCTTACTCTGTCACCCAGGCTGGAGTGCAGTGGTGCAATCTCGGCTCACTGAAGCCTTGACCTCCTGGGCTCAAACGATGTTCCCACCTCGGCCTCCTGAGTAGCTAGAACCACAGGCGCACACCACCATACCCACTAATTTTTTTTTTTTTTTTTTTTTTTAAATAGAGGCCAGGTGCGGTGGCTCATGCCTGTAATCCTGGCACTTTGGGAGGCTGAGGTGGGTGGATCACCTGAGGTATGGAGTTCGAGAACAGCCTGGCCAGCATGGTGAAACCCGTCTCTACTAAAAATACAAAAATTAGCCAGGCGTGGTGGCGGGCACCTGTAATCCCAGCTACTTGGGAGACCGAGGCACGAGAATCGCTTGAAACCAGGAGGCGGAGGCTGCAGTGAGCTGAGATCACACCACTGCATTCCACCCTGGGCGACCGAGCAAGACTCCATCTCAAAATATATATATATATATACACACACACACACACATACAAACATATGGAGAGATGAGGTCTCACTGTGTTGCCCAGGCTGGTCTTGAACTCCTGGGCTCAAGTAATCCTCCCACCTCGGCCTCCCTAAGTGCTGGAATTACAGGTGTGAGCCATTGCACCCAGCCTCCTTTCTTTGGCTTCTGATATCTGTGAGGAAGTGGGAGACCTTAGAGAAAAGTGGCATGATCTTTCTTAAATAAGCTTTAGCTCCTAGCTGTTTCACCAGTTATGTTTTTATTTTATAAGTAATGAATTACTAGGATTTTGATTAGATTCTGCAAGTAATAATTTTGGATTGTAAGACAGCATCATATGGCATTTTCTAATGGTAGGACTACTTCTTAGTGGGAATAAAGAATGCCTGTTTTGGCTGGGCGTGGTGACTCATGCCTGTAATCCCAGCCCTTTGGGAGGCCGAGGTGGGTGGATCACCTGAGGCCAAGAGTTTGAGACCAGCCTGACCAACATGGTGAAACCCCGTCTCTACTAAAAATACAAAAATTAGCAGGGCGTGGTGGTGCGTGCCTGTAATCCCAGCTACTCGGGAGGCTGAGGCAGGAGAATCACTTGAACCCGGGAGGTGGAGGTTGCAGTGACCCATTATCAGGCCACTGCACTCCAGACTGTGCGACAGTGCAAGACTCCATCTCGAAAGAAAAAAAAAAAAAAAAAAAGAATGCCTGTTTCTCAGAATAGGAGATTTGAAAGAAAAACATTAAAGAAAAAAAATTAAAGAAAAATGTGACTATAAAACATCTCTATTACCAAGTCCTACCTAAGTTACAGGACAACGGCTTATAGAAAATAGTACTGCAGTCATCTCTGTGGTACTTATGAGGAATCATCATAATTTACTAAGATAGTATTTCTAGGTAATGTCTTATTTGCTGACAGACAAGGCTCAGGAACTGTCTCTGAGACTCATCAAAGCTAGCTTCCAGACAAATAGGGTGATGTCCTTTCCTAAAGGGGAAACTGGACTGGGATGGGACTGTCATTCAGCTGAAATCACCAACAGGATTCCTGCTACAAAAACCAGGTTTTCTAGAGCTCAGGGTCTCAGCTCTGCTATAAAGCCTTCCCACACTGGCTGCCTCGGATACCTTCCAAAATATGGGTACACCCCAAATTCAAGGACTGTTATCACTTACCGTCCTCTATCCAGTCAGTACCCATCCTCCTGAGCTCATTGTGATCCATGTACTTCGATAAAAGGCCTAAAGGCAGGATAAAGTCAGTGAGTCTGTGATCTGGCTTTTGCTCTTGGAAATGAATATCTAAAAGTTTTTATCATTAAGACATCTAAGCAGCCGGCAGAATCGGCCTTCTGATAATTAGGCAGATTCCAAAAACTGGGCTTCCAGGTGCCTGGTAGTTACCTATAGGTAACAGGGCCCCTTCTTCCAAGGTCATCTTCATAAAGAATGGGGATACTTGGCCGGGTGCAGTGACTCACAGCCGGGTACAGTGACTAATGCCTGTAATCCCAGCACTTTGGGAGGCTGAGGCAGGAAGACTGCTTGAGCCCAGGAGTTTAAGACCACCCTGGGCAATATAGCAAGACCTTGTCTCTTAAAAAAAAAAAAATTGGCTGGGCATGGTGGCACATGCCTATAGTCCCAGATACTCAAGAGGCTGAGGGAGGTAGGAGGATTGCTTGAGCCCAGGATGTTGAGGCTGCAGCAAGCCATGGTGGTGCCACTGTGCTTCAACTTGGGCAACGAAGTGAGACCTTGTCTCAAATCACCACCCCCGCCTACACACATAAAACCCCCACACCATACATACATAAAAATGGGGATACTGACTGGGCGCGGTGGCTTACGCTTGTAATCCCAGCAATTTTGGTGGCTGAGGTGGGTGGATCACCTGAGGTCAGGAGTTCAAGACTAGCCTGGCCGACATGGTGAAACCCCATCATTACTAAAAATACAAAAATTAGGCCAGGCGCGATGGCTCACGCCTGTAATCCCAGCACTTTGGGAGGCCGAGGCGGGCGGATCACCTGAGGTCAGGAGTTCAAGACCAGCCTGGCCAACATGGTGAAACCCCATCTCTACTAAAAAATATAAAAATTAGCAGGGTGTGGTGGCAGGCGACTTAATCCCAGCCACTTGGGAGGCAGAGGCAGGAGAATCTCAACCCGGGAGGCAGAGGTTGCAGTGAGCTGAGATCAAGCCATTGCATTCAAATCTGGGGGACAAGAGCGAGACTTCTCTCAAAAAAAAAAAAAAAAAGAAAAATTAGCCAGGTGTGGTGGCAGGCACCTGTAATCCCAGCTACTCAGGAGGCTGAGGCAGGACAATCACTTGAACCCAGAAGGTGGAGGTGGCAGTGAGCTGAGATCGTGCCACTGCACTCCAGCCTGGGCAGCAAGAGTGAAACTCAGTTTCAAAAACAAAACAAAACAAAACAAAACAAAACAAAGACAGAGGGCCAGGCACCGTGGCTCACGCCTGTAATCCCAGCACTTTGGGAGGCCGAGGCGGGCAGATCACGAGGTCAGGAAATCGAGACCATCCTGGCTAACACGGTGAAACCCTGTCTCTACTAAAAATACAAAAAAATTTAGCCGGGCGTGATGGTGAGCGCCTGTAGTCCCAGCTACTCGGGAGGCTGAGGCAGGAAAATGGCATGAACCCGGGAGGTGGAGCTTGCAGTGAGCCGAGATGGCGCCACTGTACTCCAGCCTGGGTGACACAGCGAGACTCCGTCTCAAAAAAGAAAAAAAGAAGGGATGCTTGACAACATAATTTGGGAAAGTACAGGACAAAAGTGACTGTAGGAATGAAAGGACTTTCTTTGTACCTACAAACAAGACTGCTGATCTTCTGATGGGAAGTTTTGGGTTCTTGGAGTACATCAGTGTTTGTTCTAGGATGTTAATTTTCCCCTTGCACTTTTTTTCCTAAGTGTGGAAAAAAGTAAGTATAAAGCAGTGAAGCAGCAGCACTCTATTGATCAGCCTTACCACAGTTTCTGGGGTCAGAGACTCTATCAGAGAGAGTACAGTAGTGTTTGAAATAACTACAGTTGCTGAATGAGTATTATACCAGAATAACAAGCCCCTAGACCAAGTTATTCTAAATCCTGTGAATGCCCCTTGCTTGTACCCACTCATGCCATATATTGTGCCTGTAATGTTTCTAAAGCCATCTTGGCTTCTCTGTATCTAAGTCTTTGTTCTTTAAGTTCCACCTTGAGTTCTGCCTCCCTATGAGCTTGTCCTTGACTGCTTGCCTGCCTGACCTAACCCTGCTCTGAGCATTTTGCAGGTACTCCTCTCCCGGCACGCACTTTTTTACATCGAGGTTTTATCTCCTTTGCTAGCTTGCAGGCTCCCCTCAGGAAGTTTGTTTTTGTTTTTGTTTTTTCAGAAGGAGCCTTGCTCTGTCGCCCAGGCTGGAGTGCAGTGGCGCGGTCTTGGCTCACTGCAACCCTCACCTCCTGGGTTCAAGCAATTCTCCTGCCTCAGCCTCCCAAGTAGCTGGGACTATAGGTTCCTGCCCCCAAGCCCAGCTAATTTTTTTTTTGTATTTTTGGTAGAGACGGGGTTTCACCATATTGGCCAGGCTGGTCTCGAACTCCTGACCTTGTGATCCACCCGCCTCGGCCTCCCAAAGTGCTAGGATTACAGGCGTGAGCCACCACGCCCAGCCCCCTCAGGAAGTTTTAATCCTTGGGTTCTCTATGGCCTGTTATGGCTTTTGGGTGAAGGAAGGCACCTCTCAGTGGATCTTTTATAAGGATAGGCACCTCAAGAATAGGAGGGGGAGGCTGGGCATGGTGGCTCATGCTTGTAATCCCAACACTTTGGGAGGTTGAGCTGAGTGGATCACCTGAGGTCAGGAGTTCCAGAACAGCCTGGCCAACATGGCAAAACCCCAGCTCTGCTAAAAAATACAAAACTTAGCCAGACATGGTGGTGTAAGCCTGTAATCCCAGCTACTTGGGAGGCTGAGGCCTGGGCAACTGAGACTCTGTCTCAAAAAAAAAAAAAAAAGGAGGGGGAAAATAGGAATTTATTTTGATAGAACTTATGGCTTAATTAACATGGACAACTTGTAGTTGACAGCACCAAATTTCCTTCTGTAAATACTGTCATCAGTGTATCAGCTATAGGTTTGGGTGCAGATCAGACAGATAATCCCTAATGGAAACCCCGACACAAGGGCACTGCAAGTCCGATCACAGAAAGCTTCTGTGGGTCCTAAAGAGGTGATACATATGGAAGACTCCTGGGAATAGTCAGTCCTAGGGTCTGCTAGGTGGTTCTAGGGTCAGCTTCTAGAAAACCATGGATGGGCTTCCTGAGGCAGCCCAGGCTCAAGCTTGACCCTGAGATCAGACACAGTAGCCTCTGTGGAGTTCGTGAAGAGAAATGATACCACCTGGGTCCTGGCAGAACCAGTGGCATGCTGCCATCATGCTGCATGGCCACACAGCATGGCAGCCCTTGCTTGGGACTCCCTGGACATGCTCTGATGGACAGTAAAACAATCCGTTCTAGTCAAGGAAAGGATTCAAGATAGTTATAAAAGCAATATATAACTCCATTTCAATTCAGTCCATAAGTAACTTTTTCAGCATCAACCTGACCTTGTAGCCTCTGACCCATGTTAGAAGGGCTCCTAAGAGTCCACCAGTCTTTTCATGACTAAGAGTGGCAATCGAAACTAACTTTGTGACTCAGTTGGGAGGGAACTATAGAAACATAAATCCACAATAAAAAACAGGTCATAGATATCAACTGCTGATGTGAAAAGAAATGGGAAATGTTTCTTGCATGCCATGTTCTGTCATTAAATAGTGTGTCAGAAGAAAATAGGTCTCTCAGTATGTTGAAGAGTTAACAAAGCCATTATTGCTCACATACAAAGAATCTGCAGATTGTTCCTGCTTCAGTAGGTTTGATGTGCCAGGGATCTTTGGAGTACACTTCTTGGGGCAGCTTCCACTTCAGGAACTGGGCACATATAGTTAGGACTTGCCTGCTCTCCTGTGAAAAAGATGACCATAGATCAGCATTTTCAAACATTTTTATTTTTTTGAGCTGGAATCTCATGCTGTCGCTCAGGCTGGACTACAGCAGTGCCATCTTGGCTCACTGCGACCTCCACCTCCCGGGTTCAAGCAATTCTCTTCCCTCAGCCTCCTGAGTAGCTGGGATTATAGGCGCCCACCACCATGCCCGGTTAATTTTTGTATTTTTAGTAGAGACAGGGTTTTGCCATGTTGGCCAGGCTGGTCTTGAACTCCTGGCCTCGGGTGATCCATCCACCCTGGCCTCCCAAAGTGCTGGGATTACAGGCGTGAACCACCGTGCCCAGCCTCATTTTTAAACAGAGGTAATCTTTCTTCAATAAAACTAGTACTAAAGTACAATATGAAAAACTGATAAAAGAGAGCAGAAGAGCGGAAAGGAACTAGAATCCTGCCCTCCTCCTCCAACTTCTCCAAATAGTCCTTACGTGGAATCCACAAAAACCCTAGGGTTCTGGGGAGGATGTAGAAACCACTGGTGTTGGGCAAAAGTGACAGCTTGCAGATGTAATCCCTAGACCAGAGGTTTGGGCAGGAATTCCCATTACCCTGTGCCCTAGAGATGAAGCTCCCACCTCCACTTACTGTTCCTATGCCATTTTTCTGTCACTCTACAAAGGAAGTGTAGCCCCTGACTTCTGTCCTTGTGGCATCTCTGGGTTGGAAGGAAGGAACTCTAGAGGACTGATCTCTTCCTGATCCACATCCTTGAGCAAAATTTAGCAAGTGGGTCTCTTTTCTAGTTCATTGTTCTCAGAATGCCACCCATACACCATGCAACACCTCTGATGAATCTCCAAGCCAGTATTTTATCTCAGGTCCACTAGATGTTTGGGCCATAAAAATTCCTTTGGCTACTGATGGGCATATAAATTACTTCAGCCACTGTGTTTAGTGATTTATAAATATCTAATAAAAAGTTAAAGATACCTAGATATTCTACTTGAGGTTTTATGCCCTCAAGAAACTCTCATATGCGTGCACAAGGAAACAGGTAAAATAATTGCAGAACTGTAATCACGAAAAATTGAAATGTCAGGCCAGGCACAGTGGCTCATGCCTGTAATCCCAGCTCTCTGGGAGGCCAAGCAGGTAGATGATTTGAGGTCAGGAGTTCGAGACCAGCCTGGCCAACATGGCAAAACCCCATCTCTACTAAAAATACAAAAATTAGCCAGGCATGGTAGTGGGCAGTTGTAATCCCAGCTACTCAGGAGGCTGAGGCAGAAGAGTTGCTTGAACCCAGGAGGTGGAGGTTGCAGTGATCCGAGATCACACCACTGCACTCCAGCCTGGGCGACAGAGACCCTGTCTCAAAAATATATATGTATATCTATCTGTCTGTCTGTCTGTCTGTCTGTCTATGTATGTATGTAGGTATGAATGTATGTATGTATGTATGTATCTATCTATATGAGTATATGAATGCTTCTTTTCTTTGCAGAGTTGGCTCTGGATTTGAAGTTTGAGGGATGAGAGACACCGACAGTAGGCCTTACCTCAGCTACTGCATCATTTTCATCCTGAGAATACAGAAGTAGTGGGACCAAGCTGTCCAGGACTTGGTTCTCTATACTCTTCTTATCTGGGTTTTTTACAGACTTTATGGCGGCTCCAAAGAGAGTCACGGAGAAACGATGAACATCAGATCTCACCTGGGAAGGGAGTAGCCAAAGGGAAGCAATTCACTGAACGTGTGCGTGCTTAGCTTGTAACAACCTGGGAGGGGTTGAAAAGCCAGTCCTGACAATGAGGCTATTTAGCTGTATGTAGCTGAAGGCAAGAAATAAAATATACGTGGACACAGGCCAGGCGCAGTGGCTCACGCCTGTAATCCCAGCACTTTAGGAGGCTGAGGCAGGCAGATCACTTGAGGTCAGGAGTTCAAGACCAGCCTGGCCAATATGGGGAAACCCCATCTCCACTAAAAATACAAAAATTAGCTGGGCGTGGTGGCGCATGCCTGTAGTCCCAGCTACTCGGGAGGCTGAGGCAGGAGAATCGCTTGAACCCAGGAGGTGGAGGTTGCAGTAGGCCAAGATCATGCCACTGCACTCCAGCCTGGGTGACAGAGCAAGACTCCGTCTCCCTCCCCCTCTCTCTCTATATATGGACACAGTAAGACTTGCTGCTTTGGCACTACTTGTTTTCTCACCCTACAAGTGAGAGATGCACATAGTCTCACCTGTAGTCGGCAAACCTCGTGCCTGGTACAGGCAGGAACCATTCACACAGGCTGCTTTGTTGAAATTCGAAATCCCAGCCTTGGTATGTTTTACTCTTCCAAGGATGCTGGTCATTGTGCTCTATGCATTTCCTCTTGAGAAATATATGGCATTTGGGACAGGGACATAAGTATCATCCACCATCTTGACCCAGTTCTGATAGTTCTTGAAGGGAAAGACAATGTTTTCCCCTTCCCCATCACAAAGCAGGGTAGTACCTTAGCAAGTTTCTATGTTCAGTTGTTTTTTTTTTTTTTGGTTAAACCTGAAAAACAATAACATCTGCCCTATCAACATCACAGGTTACCTAGTAGGGTCTTAAGAGAGGAGGTTTGAAATGCTCTGAAAGTAAAAGTCCTATACCAAGTAGAGTGTATTTATTACTATACCAACTTCTGTTTGCTGTTATGCCCATTACCCTCCTCCTAGGAAAGTCTGTCCTCTCTGATTGTCTTACATCACCAAATAAGGAGAACAGGGTCCTCATCATGGCAGCCAGGGTAGTGAAATCCATTGTTCTAACAAGTTGCAGGAGTATCTGGATGGCTGACAGAACGATCTTCTCATCGGTTTCACGCAAGCTGTCTACAATGTATGGCAACAGGCTCTTGATGTCTTCTCTCTGCATGGCCAAAGGGAGCATATCACCTTTTCTCCAAATCGCACGTCACCTGGTACCAAAGGGGGTGCTCCCCATCTTTACTCAGTACCTAGTGCTCACTGATTTTTGTTAGGGGTGGTAGATCCAGAAGGGAGAAGAAGGGGATATGATGGCCTTCTCTCAGTACTGGAGGTCTGATACATAGAAGAGGGGCAGAGCTGCTTTGAGTTGCCTCAAGGGCAAAAGTGGGACCAGGCAGGGAAGGTCTAGGGCTATGGGCTTGGGCTCACTGTAAGGAAGAGCTCTGCTAACAAGGGAAAGTGGAACAGGTAGCTCAGGCCACGGTGAGCTCCCAAACACACAAGATATCCAAACAGAGGCTCAAAGATCCTGATATGGTTTGGCTCTGTGTCCCCACCTAAATCTCATCTCGAACTGTAATTCCCACTTGTAGAGGGAGAGACTTGGTGGGAAGTGATTGGATCATGAGGGCTGTTTCCCCCATGCTGTTCTCATGATAGTGAGGGAGTTCTCAGGAGATCTGATGGTTTTAAAATGGCAGTTTTGGCTGGGTGCAGTGGCTCATGCCTGTAATCCCAGCACTTTGGGAGGCCGAGGCAGGTGAATTACTCGAGGTCAGGAGTTCGAGACCAGCCTGGCCAATACAGCGAAACCCCACCTCTACTAAAAATACAAAAATTAGGCTGGGCACAGTGGCTCACGCCCGTAATCCCAGCACTTTAGGAGGCCGAGGTGGGCGGATCACCTGCAGTCAGGAGTTCGAGCCCAACCTGACCAACATGGCAAAACCCTGTCTCTACTAAAAATACAAAAATTCGCCAGGCATGGTGGCACATACCTGTAATCCCAGCTACCTGGGAGGCTGAGGCAGAATAGCTTGAACCAGGGAGGTGGAGGTTGTAGTGAGCCGAGATCGCACCATTGTACTCCAGCCTGGGTTACAAGAACAAAACTCTGTCTCAAAAAAAAAAAAAAAAAAAAAAAGCCTGGTGTGGTGGTGCCTGCCTGTAGTCCCAGCTACTCAGGAGGCTGAGGCAGGAGAATTGCTATAGCTTGAACTCAAATGGCAGAGGTTGCAGTGAGCTGAGATCACACCACTGCACTCCACCCTAGGTGACACAGAGAGACTCAATCTCAAAAAAAATAAAAATAAAAAATAAAATAAAAGTGGCAGTTTCCCCTGCTTTCTGTCTCTCTCCTGCTCCGCCATTGTGAAGATGTACCTGCTTCCCCTTTGCCTTCCACCATGATTGTAAGTTTCCTGAGGCCTCCCTAGCCATGCAGAATTGTGAGTCTAGTAAACCTCCTTCGTTTATAAATTACCCAGCTCAGGGAGTATCTTTATAGCAGTGTGAAAATGGATCCCCTGGCAGGAATTCAAGCAGAATTTGACCGAGGACTTAAGGGTTCTTCTCATTCTGAATGGGGATTCTGCTCTTCTGAAACTACTGAAAGGAAACAATCTCAGGGTTGTAAAGTTTAAACGTACACATGAAAAAGTAAGTAGAATATAAACACAAGTTAGGAAGCCAGTTTTAAAAAAAAGAAAAAGTAAGTAGAATAAAGCGATATTAATGTATCCAATCAACCAGAATTAACATACACTGACATTCGTCATTTTTGCTTCAGAAACACTTTTTTCTTTTTTTTTTTTTTGAGACAGTATGTCGCTCTGTCATTCAGGCTGGAGTGCAGTGGCGCAATCTCGGCTCACTACAACCTCTGCCTCACGGGTTTAAGCAATTCTCCTGCCTCAGCCTCCCAAGTAGCTGGGACTACAGGCACATGCTACCATGGCTAATTTTTGCATTTTTAGTAGAGATGGGGTTTCACTATGTTGGCCAGGTTGGTCTCAAACTCCTGACTTCATGTGATCTGCTCGCCTTGGCCTCCCGAAGTGCTGGGGTTACAGGCGCTAGCCACTGCGCCTGGCCCCAAATATTTTTAAATAAAATATTTGGTGAAGCGGCTCATGCCTGTAATCCCAGCTACTCTGCAGGCTGAGGTAAGAGGACTGCTTAAGGCCAGGAGTTCAAGGCTGCAGTGAGCCATGATCATGCCACTGTTCTCTAGCCTGGGCAACAGAGCAAGACCCTGTCTCTAAAAAAATTTAAAAAGTAAAAATAGGCCAGGTGTGGTGGCTCACGCCTGTAATCCCAGCACTTTGGGAGGCCGAGGCGGGCGGATCATGAGGTCAGGAGATCGAGACCATCCTAGCTAACACATGAAACCCTGTCTCTACTAAAAATACAAAAAATTAGGCAGGGGAATGGCATGAACCCGGGAGGCGGAGGTTGCAGTGAGCCGAGATTGTGCCACTGCACTTCAGCCTGGGTGACAGAGCAAGACTCTGTCTCAAAAAAAAAAAAAAAAAGTAAAAATAAATAAATAAATAAAATAGAACTCCAAGCCACCTGTGGTGGCTCACACCTGTAATCCCAGCATTTTGGAAGGGTGAGGCAGCCAGATCGCTTGAGGTCAGGAGTTCGAGACCAGCCTGGCCAACATGGTGAAACCCTGTCCCTACTAAAACATACAAAAATTAGCCAGGTGTAGTGGCAGATGCCTGTAGTCCCAGGTATTTGGAAAGCTGGGACTTGGAGACTTGGAGAATCACTTGAAGCCGGGAGGCAGAGGTTGCGGCGAGCCGAGATTGTGCCACTGCACTCTAGCCTGGGTGACAAAGAGAGTCCCTGTCTCAAAAAAAAAAAAAAAAAGAATAGAACTCCAGTGACAAAACTGAAGCTTCAGAAATTCCTCATGTCTTCTGGCTTAGGCTTAGTTTTCTCACCAGGCCTATGGAAGATGAGCTTTCTTCCAACATGAATGTCAGTGATCTTTTTTTTAGATGACAAGCATCTTGGGAGCATATCAATGGTCTTTTCAATCTACTCCATGGGGCAACACGGTACAAGGCATAAAACAATACCTAAATGCTGTCCAGGTTGTGATAATGAGTATACCTCCCCTGCAAATTGCAGCTATCAACTATTATGAATATATATAATTTGGACTTTTTATTTATTTCATTTAATTCCATTAACTCTTTTTTTCTCTTTTTTTGTGAGACAGAGTTTCGCGCTTGTTGCCGAGGCTGGAGTGCAATAGTGCGATCTCGGCTCACTGCAACCTCCGCTTCCTGGGTTCAGACGATTCTCCTGCCTCAGCCTCCCAAGTAGCTGGGATTACAGGCATGTGCCACCACACCTGGCTAATTTTTTTGTATTTTTAGTAGAGACGGGGTTTCTCCATGTTGGTTAGGCTAGTCTCAAACTCTCGACCTCAGGTGATTCACCCGCCTCGGCTCCCAAAGTGCTGGGATTATAAGCGTGAGCCACCGTGCCTGGCCTAACTTTTTTTTTTTTTCCCGAGACGGAGTCTTGCTCTGTTACCCAGGCTAGAGTGCAGTGGTGCCATCTTGGCTCACTGCAACCTCTGCCTCCCGGGTTCATGCGATTCTCCTGCCTCAGCCTACTGAGTAGCTGGGATTACAGGCATGTGCCATCATGCCCAGCTAATTTTTATATTTTTAGTAGAGATGGGGTTTCACCATGTTGGTCCGGCTGGTCTCAAACTCCTGACCTCGTGATCCACTCGCCTCGGCCTCCCAAAGTGCTGTGATTACAGGCGTGAGCCATCACGCCTGGCCAATTTCATTAATTTTTAAATAGTCAGTACTTGCCTATTTCTTAGGCATAAAACTTTAAATGATACAAAAGGATGTGCAGGAAAAAAGACCCTCTCCCACCTACTCCTGTCCCCAGGCTACCCAATTGTCTTCAGCTATTTTCAGTTTCTTAGGTATTATTTTGGGGTGATTAATTGGTATCTTAGGAATCAGTGATCTGGGCCAGGCGCTGTGGCTCACACCTGTAATCCCAGTATTTTGGGAGGCTGAGGTGGACAGATCACTTGAGACCAGGAGTTCGAGAGCAGCCCTGGCAACACAGTGAGACTCTGTCTCTACAAAAATTTTAAAAATCAGCTGGGCATAGTGGCATGTGCCTGTGGTCCCCGCTACTCAGGAGGCTGAGGTGAGAGGATCACTTGAGCCCGGGAGGTTGAAGCTGCGGCACGCAGCGATGGTGTCACTGAACTCCAGCCTGGGTCACAAAGCAAGACCCTATCTTAAAAAAAGAAAAAAAAAAAAAGAAAGAAAGAAGGAAGGAAGGAGAGAAAAGAAAAGAAAGAGAAGGAAAGGAAGAAAGGAAGGAAAGAAAGAAAAAGGAAAGAAAGAAGGGAAAGAAAGAAAGGAAGGAAGAGAAAGAAAGAAAGAAAGAGAGGGACAGAAAGAAAGAGAAAGAAAAGAAAAGAAAAGAAAAGAAAAGAAAAGAATCCATGGTCTGGGGGCCCCTCCTACCATCTCCTGGTGTCCAACAAGATTGTACAGTCCCCTCAGGCCGAGAATTCTAAAGAGATGATTTCCATCTTGTAGCCAGTCTTTAAAGCGGGCAACAGAGTATATGCTGGGCAGTCTCTTGGCCACTGGACTCCGGAGAAGCTGAAAGAACCCAGAGATCAGCCCAAAAAATGACCTTTAAGCCCTTTTTCATGTGGGGAGCTACCTTCCCACCAATGCTAAAGTACATATTTTCCTTTTAAATCTCTATTACAGAACATACAGGATGATGTTTATTTACCCTATAGGTACACAAAGAATACTGAATTATGCATGTGTGGAAAGAAGATTTTTGAGAGGCTTGAATCTGAAAATTCTTTCTTTTTTGTGTGTTTGTTTTGTTTTGTTTTTTTGAGATGGAGTCTCACTCTGTTGCCCAGGCTGGAGTGCAGTGGTGCGATCTTGGCTCACTGCAATCTCTGCCTCCCGGGTTCAAGCGATTCTCATGCCTCATCCCGAGTAGCTGAGATTACAGGTGCCCGCCACCATGCCCAGCTAATTATTTTGTATTTTTAGTAGAGACGGGGTTTCACCATGTTGGCCAGGCTAGTTTTGAACTCCTGAACTCAGGTGATCCGCCCGCTTCAACCTCCCAAAGTGCTGGGATTACAGGCGTGAGCCACCGCGCCTGCCCTTGAATCTGAAAATTATTTCTATCTCACTCTTGAAACAGATCCCAACATGCCACTAACTCGATGTAGCCTAGGAAGGCAGGGATTGCTGCTTCATAGGCTTCCTGAATCCAGCTTCTAAACAATGAGTCTTACCTCCACAAAAAAGCCTGCAGATGTGAGTTTATGTTTATCATTCCCTCGGTTAAGAAGAGGGACTAATAAGTACATGACCTTCTGTGCAAGGAGCTGATTTCTTTCCAGCAATGCGCTGCAAAACACAACACCAACAGAATGACTCTCAGGAATGCTCCCATCCAGAGGGCATTGTCTCAGGGCTGGGGACCCTCTAGAAGTTCTTGCCCAGCTACAGGATAGTATACGGTAGGGCCAGGACCTCTGAAAAATTTGCCTAGCATTATGGATATTTGCCCACCCTCTTATAAGGAGGTTATTCAACCTTAGTTGCTGTGATAACTAGAAGGGAAATAAATACTCAAAACAATGCCGATTTAGAACAGGTGGGTGTATGCATGACAAGGAAGCCTTACTTGGCAAGGAGAAATAGTCCCTGAAGATGGCCATCTTTTCCTCCCAGGAGAGCCCATCCTTTATTCTTTTCCATGATGTTGAATTCCTGCAAGCAGCATGTTCTGAGGAGGAGAGTCTTTGTAGCCTGCATGGCAAAGCTAAATCAAACGAAAACAGTGTGGGTGATTTGAACAGGTCCCTCCAACTTACCAGCACACAGTCATCCCATTCTCAGTGAGGAGGGTCATGCATTGACAACTGCTGGACTGTAATTCTCTGCTTTCCAAATTGCCCAAAAGACTCTTCTCTTTTTTCTTTTACTTTCTTCTTCTTCTTTTTCTTTCTTCCTTTTTTTTTTTTTTTTTTTTTTTTGAGACGGAGGCTTGCTCTGTTGCCCAGGCCAGAGTGCAGTGGTGAGATCGTGGCTTGCTGCAACCTCTGCCTCCCTGGTTCAAGCGATTCTCCTGCCTCAGCCTCCTGAGTAGCTGGGATTACAGGTGCACGCCACCACACCTGGCTAATTTTTCTATTTTTAGTAGAGACTGGGTTTCACCATGTTGGTCAGGCTGGTCTCAAACTCCTGACCTCAGATGATATGCCTGTCTCGGCCTCCCAAAGTGTTGGAATTACAGGCATGAGCTACCGTGCCCGGCCTACTTTCAAGACTAGTCAAGTGCAGTAGTGAGACCAGAAGAGTCTTAATGCTCTAATAACTTGTAAGGCCCTTTACACAAGATCTCAGCATAAAGAAATCTAACTAGGTCTCATTTCCCCAGGAGTTTAGAAGGAAATCTATGATAAAAGAAATGATCTGGGATGCTAAACAGACACACACTGCTTTTTTAAAAGCTTTACTGAGATACAATTTACCCCACACTATTTATCTCCACTGTTTTTATTATTTATTTATTTACTGAGACAGGATCTTGTTTTGTCACCCAAGCTGGAGGGCAAGGGTGCCATCATGGCTCACTGCAGCCTTGAGCTCCTGGGCTCAAGTGATCCTCCTGCCTCAGCATCCAGGGCAGCTGGGATTACAGGCATGTGCCATCAGGCTCCAATAATTTAAGAAAAAAAAATTTTTTTCTGAGACAGGGTCTGGCTCTGTCTCCCAGGCTGGAGTGCGGTGGCGCGATTTCTGCTCACTGCAGTCTCAATCTCCTAAGCTCAAGCAATCTTCCCACCTCAGCCTCCCGAGTAGTTGGGACCACAAGTGTGTTCCAACACACCTGGCTAATTTTTATAGAGACAGGGTTTCACCACGTTGCCCAGGCTGGTGTTGAACTCCTGAGCTCAAGTAGTCCTCCTGCCTCGGCCTCCGAAAGTGTTGGCATTACACATGTGGGCCACTGCACCCAGCCTAAAAATTTTTTGTAGAGACAGGCTCTTGCCCTATTGCCTAAGCTGTTCTTAAACTCCTAGCTTCAAATGATCCTCCTGCCTTGGCCTCCCAAAGTGCTGGGATTACAGGAATGAGCCATTGTGCCTGGCCGTCCACTGCCTTTAAAAGCTACTTACTGAACTGTTATCCCGGACCTAGCATCAGAGAATCTTAAAGCTGGAAGGAGCCTGAGCAACACAGTGAGACCCCTTCTCTACAAAAAATAAAAATAATTAGCTGGGCATGGTGGCAGGCAACTGTGGTTCAGCTACGCAGGAGGCTGAGGTGGGAGGATCACGTGAGCCCAGGATGTTGAGGCTGCAGTGAGCCATGATCATGCCACTGCACTCCAGCCTGGGTGACAGATGGAGACCCTGTCTCAAAAAATAAAACAAAATAATAAAGCTGGAATGGTCCTTTGAGATCACCTTGCCTGACCTTTCCATTTATAGATAAGGAAACTGAGGCACAGAACAATAGATTTGCCCAGGGTATAGAACTAGTTGAATGGATGAATGAGAACTGCACTAGAACTCAGGTCTACTGACTTAGTCTGGTGTTCTTAAATATGTCACATTATAGTACTTTCTCTGAAAGAAATCCATGTGCCATAGCAACACTAAGAAACGTCTTTATTATTATTATTACTTTTTGAGACAGAGTCTTGCTCTGTTGCCCAGGCTGGAGTGCAACGGCACGATCTCGGCTCACTGCAATCTCTGCCTCCCGGGCTCAAGTGATTCTCGTGCCTCAGCCTCCTGAGTAGCTGGAATTATAGGCATGTGCCACCACGCCCAGCTAATTTTTGTATTTTTAGTAGAGACAGGGTTTCACATGTTGGCCAGGCTGGTCTCAAACTCTTGACCTCAGGTGATCCACCTGTCTCAGCCTCCCAAAGTGCTGGGATTACAGGCATGAGCCACCATGCCCAACCAACAACACTAAGAAATTTCTACTGAGACTCTAATGGGACTTAAAAATATCTCTCCATGCAATAAAACAGAAAGCAGAAATCACTGCATGGTGGATCAGTACAGTTTTGGAGGTAGGTTTAGGCTGTTTTGTTTCTGTCTGTACTTGATTTATTAGGAAAGGGCTAACACAATATCACATTTGGCTAACCCAGATATAACCCAGATAGCCAAATTTACCTTGTTACTAATAAAACCAAAGATAGCCAATGAAAGCTCAGAATGATTCCTGGGCATTTCATCTTGATGGCTCATGAGGGTTGAAGGTTGTAAGCTCCCCTTCAGTTGGGACTACATCTTGGCTATCCCTGTGTTCACCACAGTGCCCAGTGCTTAGTACGTGTTACTTAATGTCAATGAAATAATGATGGGCAGTACCACAAAGGGGTGACCTCTGAAGGCACTTCCTGTTCTGTGTACAGGCCACTTGGGATGTCGACATCAGACATGGTGAGGCCGATGCTGTGATGAATCTGGATAAGCAGTGTCATGAGAAGCTGAGGAAAGAGTCGGAACGTAGCTGCTCGAAGCCTGTTTCCCAAAAACACCTCATAAAGGGCATCTGTTGCCTGTGGTGGAAAAGACACAGAGAGGAACTAAGCACCTGCCATTTTGAAATACGGAAGTCATGAAGGAAACTATTAACATATTTGACTACATACAAATATAAAGCCAGGGCAACATTTATCATAAAGTTAGATGACAACAGGCCAGGTGCAGTGGCTCATGTCTGCAATCCCAGCACTTTGGGAGGCCAAGGCGGGTGGATCACCTTAGGTCAGGAGTTTGAGACCAGCTTGGTCAACAGAGTGAAACCCCATCTCTACTAAAAATACAAAAAAATTAGCCAGGTGTGGTGGCTCATGCCTGTAATCCCAGCTACTCGGGAGGCAGAGGCAGGAGAATCGCTTGAACCTTAGAGGTGGAGGTTGCAGTGAGCCGAGATCGTGCCATTGCACTCCAGCTTGAGTGACAGAGCGAGACTCTGTCTCAAAAAAAAAGAGTTAGATGGCAACAACCTGGAGAAGTATTTGTATCAATATATTGTTCTTACTATATAAAATGCTCTTACGTAGCAGTAAAAAAATTACTCAAAGGGTAGGCCACACACCAGTAGCATTGTCATCACCTGGGAGCTGGTTAAACAGGGAGAATTTCAAGCCCCATCCCAGGCCTTCCATATCAGAACCTGTATTTTATTATTATTTTTTATTTTTTGTTTTTGAGACAGAGTCTCGCTCTGTCACCCAGGCTGGAGTGCAGTGGTGAGATCTCTGCTCACCGCAAGCTCTGCCTCCCGGGTTCACGCCATTCTACCGCCTTAGCCTCTCGAGTAGCTGGGACTACAGGTGCCCGCCACCACGCCCGGCTAATTTTTCATATTTTTAGTAGAGACGGTGTTTCACCATGTTAGCCAAGATGGTCTCGATCTCCTGACCTCGTGATCCACCCGCCTCGGCCTCCCAAAGTGCTGGGATTACAGGTGTGAGCCACTGCGCCCAGCTGAGAACCTGCATTTTAATAATATCCCAAAGTGATTGTGGTTTGTGTGCATATTAAATCTGAGAAGGACTAGTGTACAGGGCATGAACAAACAAGTCATAAAAGAAATACAAACGGCCAATTAAAAACATATACAAGGCTGGGTGTGGTGGCTCACGTCCGTAATCAGCATTTTGGGAGGCTAAGGCGGGAGGATTGTTTGAGCCCAGGAGTTTGAGACCAGACTGGGCAACATGGGGAATCCCCGTCTCTACTAAAAAATACAAAAATTAGCCAGGCATGGTGGCACTCTCCTGTATTCCCAGCTACTCAGGAGGCTGATGTGGGAGGATCGCTTCAGCCCAGGAGGAAGAGGTTGCAGTGAGCTGAGATCATGCCACTGCAGTCCAGCCTGGGCAACAGAGTGGGACTCTGTCTCAAAAAGAAAAATAACAGCCTCTCGCTCTCCCTCTCCCTCTCCTTCTCCCCTTCCCTCTCCCCCTCCCCTTTCCACGGTCTCCCCTCTCCCTCTTTCCACGGTCTCCCTCTGATGCCGAGCCGAAGCTGGACTGTACTGCTGCCATCTCGGCTCACTGCAACCTCCCTGCCTGGTTCTCCTGCCTCAGCCTGCCGAGTGCCTGCGATTGCAGGCATGCGCCGCCACGCCTGACTGGTTTTCGTATTTTTTTGGTGGAGACGGGGTTTCGCTGTGTTGGCCGGGCCGGTCTCCAGCTCCTAACCGCGAGTGGTCCGCCAGCCTCGGCCTCCCGAGGTGCCGGGATTGCAGATGGAGTCTCGTTCACTCAGTGCTCAATGGTGCCCAGGCTGGAGTGCAGTGGCGTGATCTCGGCTCGCTACAACCTCCACCTCCCAGCCGCCTGCCTTGGCCTCCCAAAGTGCCGAGATTGCAGCCTCTGCCCGGCCGCCACCCCGTCTGGGAAGTGAGGAGCGTCTCTGCCTGGCCGCCCATCGTCTGGGATGTGAGGAGCCCCTCTGCCTGGCTGCCCAGTCTGGAAGGTGAGGAGCGTCTCCGCCCGGCCGCCATCCCATCTAGGAAGTGAGGAGAGCCTCTTCCCGGCTGCCATCACATCTAGGAAGTGAGGAGCGTCTCTGCCCGGCCGCCCATCGTCTGAGATGTGGGGAGCGCCTCTGCCCTGCCGCCCCGTCTGGGATGTGAGGAGCGCCTCTGCCCGGCCGTGACCCCGTCTGGGAGGGGAAGAGCGTCTCTGCCCGGCAGCCCCGTCTGAGAAGTGAGGAGACCCTCTGCCTGGCAACCGCCCCGTCTGAGAAGTGAGGAGCCCCTCCACCCGGCAGCCGCCCCGTCTGAGAAGTGAGGAGCCTCTCCGCAAGGCAGCCACCCCGTCTGGGAAGTGAGGAGCGTCTCCGCCCGGCAGCCACCCCGTCCGGGAGGGAGGTGGGGGGGTCAGCCCCACGCCCGGCCAACCGCCCCGTCCGGGAGGTGAGGGGCGCCTCTGCCCAGCCGCCCCTACTGGGAAGTGAGGAGCCCCTCTGCCCGGCCAGCTGCCCCGTCTGGGAGGGAGGTGGGGGGGTCAGCCCCCCGCCCGGCCAGCCGCCCCGTCCGGGAGGGAGGTGGGGGGGTCAGCCCCCCGCCGGCCAGCCGCCCCGTCCGGGAGGGAGGTGGGGGGGTCGGCCCCCCGCCCGGCCAGCCGCCCCGTCCGGGAGGGAGGTCGGGGGGTCGGCCCCCCGCCCGGCCAGCCGCCCCGTCTGGGAGGTGAGGGGCGCCTCTGCCCGGCCGCCCCTACTGGGAAGTGAGGAGCCCCTCTGCCCGGCCAGCCGCCCCCTCCAGGAGGGAGGAGGGTGGTCAGCCCCCTGCCCGGCCAGCTGCCCCGTCCGGGAGGTGGCCACCCCTACTGGGAAGTGAGGAGCCCCTCTGCCCGGCCACCACCCCGTCTGGGAGGTGTACCCAACAGCTCATTGAGAACGGGCCAGGATGACAATGGCGGTTTTGTGGAATAGAAAGGGGGGAAAGGTGGGGAAAAGATTGAGAAATCGGATGGTTGCCGTGTCTGTGTAGAAAGAAGTAGACATGGGAGACTTTTCATTTTGTTCTGTACTAAGAAAAATTCTTCTGCCTTGGGATCCTGTTGATCTGTGACCTTACCCCCAACCCTGTGCTCTCTGAAACATGTGCTTAGTCCACTCAGGGTTGAATGGATTAAGGGCGGTGCAAGATGTGCTTTGTTAAACAGATCCTGAAGGCAGCATGCTGGTTAAGAGTCATCACCACTCCCTAATCTCAAGTACCCAGGGACACAAACACTGCGGAAGGCCGCAGGGTCCTCTCCCTAGGAAAACCAGAGACCTTTGTTCACTTGTTAATCTGCTGACCTTCCCTCCACTATTGTCCTATGACCCTGCCAAATCCCCCTCTGCGAGAAACATCCAAGAATGATCAATAAAAAATAAAAGGCCGGGCGCGGTGGCTCACGCCTGTAATCCCAGCACTTTGGGAGGCCGAGACGGGCGGATCACGAGGTCAGGAGATCGAGACCATCCTGGCTAACACGGTGAAACCCCGTCTCTACTAAAAATACAAAAATTAGCCGGGCATGGTGGCGCGCGCCTGTAGTCCCAGCTACACGGGAGGCTGAGGCAGGAGAATGGCGTGAACCCGGGAGGCGGAGCTTGCAGTGAGTCGAGATCGCGCCACTGCACTCCAGCCTGGGCGACAGAGCGAAACTTTGTCTCAAAAAAAAAATAAAATAAAAAAATAAAAAAAGAAAAAAGAAAAATAACAATAATTTAGACCACAGAAAGCTGAACCATAAACTGGTAGGGGAGAAAATAAAGTAAAAAGTAAATGTTGATAGTAGGGCAGGCTGTGTGTGTGTGGAGGCAGGTTTATGGGAACGCTGTACTTTCTGCTGAATTTTTCTGTGAACTTAAAACTGCTCTAAAAAATAAAGTATTTAAAAGGAAAAAATGAAAAAAGTATACCAAATAGATATACCAAAAGTTTATATATGTATAAAGACTTCTGGAAAATTCATTTTTAGGGAGATTGTTACAGACATGAGCTAAGAATGGTTTTTACATTTTTTAATAAAAGGATTGTTTTAAAAAATCCAAAATCCAAAGATTGTTTAAAAGAAATCCAAAGAATATGTGACAGAGACTATATATTTACCATCTGGTCTCTTATAGAAAGTTGGCCAACTTCTGCTCAGGGAGATCTGCACTTTCTTTTTTTTTTTTTTTTGAGACTCTCTCTGTCACCCAGGCTGGAGTGCAGTGGCGTGATCTCGGCTCACTGCAACCTCTGCCTCCCTGGTTTAAGTAATTCTCCTGCCTTAGCCTCCTGAGTAGCTGGGATTACAGGCGGCCGCCACCATGCCTGGCTAATTTTTGTATTTTAAGTAGAGACGGGGTTGCATCATGTTGGCCAGGCTGGTCTCAAACTCCTGACCTCAAGTGATTGGCTCGCCTCGGCCTCCCAGAGTGCTGGAATTACAGGCAAGAGCCACTGTGCCTGGCCTTTTTTTTTTTTTTTTTTTTTGAGATGGAGTCTCACTCTGTTGCCCAGGCTGGAGTGCAGTAGCGTGATCTCGGCTCACTGCAACCTCTGCCTCCCGGGTTCAAGCAAGTCTCCTGCCTCAGCCTCTTGAGTAGCTGGGATTACAGGTGGGCGCCACTACACCTGGCTAATTTTTGTATTTTACTAGAGATGGGGTTTCACCATATTGGCCAGGCTGGTCTTGAACTCCTGACCTCAGGTGATCTACCCACCTTGGCCTCCCAAAGTGCTGGGATTACAGGCGTGAGCCACCGCGTCTAGTCTGCACTTTGTTTTATACAGTTCTACGATATTTGAGGTTTTTTTCCCACAAGTTTGCATTTCTCTTTAACTATGATGATACATATTTTTTAGAGGATGAGGGAAGGAATGTTTTAAACATATTAAACCAGGGATGTTTCCAAGGGACAGATGACAGTCATGGGTTCTTAGTTTCTGTTTCTGGTTGGGTCAATAAAGCCCCTTCCTCATACCTCTTTTCCGCTTATCACTAGAGACAGAAACTAAATACCATGGCTTCAGGCTTCTAAAAGCCTAAAACAAAACAGAACAGAACAACAAAAACAAAAAAAGGCAGGTTGGACGAGTTTGTATTAAGGCATTCTGACTCCTTCACTCTCCCCAGCTCCCTCCATGTCAATCCCTTGGCAGAAACACTGTAGACTTATAAATGGATGACAGATGCAGGCTTTGAGAGGGACCAAAAGGAACACTCTCCACTGGGGTGTGGGGTCAGTCATCCTGGGAGGGGCTGACATTAGAGGGGCAAAGCTCAAGGGCTTACAGCCACAGCCACATATGCCATCTTCTCCTGTGCAGGCTCATTATGGCATTTCTGCAGCTTCCTCAGGAGCCTCCACAGAATCCAGGTCGTGCTGGGAAGCTCCACCGACAGCATTCTCCACACCTCAGCCAGGTGCCTGGAAATCCCAAAGAGCAAGAGGAGAATGGCTGATTCCAATGCAATCTACAAGAGGTTCTCCTCTCTACTCAGCTCTTCAGGGTGTCAAAAGACTGACTTTGATTTCATAACAGTAACTCCCCAGGTTTATTTTTTTCCTTTTTGTGAGACCCTGTCTCAAAAAAAAAAAAAAAAGGTGGTTGTATCCATTTATTTGCCAACAAGCAGAGTAGGATTCCTATTGCTCCATATTTTCTTTTATTTACTTATTTATTTTTTAAATTTTATTATTATTATTATTATTTTGACACGGTGTCTTGCTCTGTCACTCAGGCTGGAGTCAGTGGCGTGATCTTGGCTCATTGCAACCTCTGTCTCCTGGGTTCAATCAATTCCCTTGCTTCAGTCTCCTGAGTAGCTGGGATTACAGGTGCCCGCCACCACGCCCGGCTAATTTTTGTATTTTTAGTAGAGCCAGGGTGTCGCCATGTTAGCCAGGCTGGTCTCGAACTCCCGACCTCAAGTGATCTGCCCGCCCTGGCCTCCCAAAGTGCTGGGATTACAGGCGTGAGCCACTGCACCCAGCCGATTTTTAAAATTTTACTTTAAGTTCCAGGATACATGTGCAGAATGTGCAGGTTTGTTACATAGGTATCCATGTGCCATGGTGGTTTGTTGCACCTCTCAACCCGTCATCTAGGTTTTAAGCCCACACGCATTAGGTATTTGTCCTATTGGTCTCCCTCCCCTTGCCCCCCACCCCTGAAGTCCCCAGGTTTTATCGAATCAAGTTCCCATTGCCTCAGCGTGGACTTCAAGGCTATTCATAACCTGGTCCTGACTTAACTTTTTGGCCTCATCTCTTCCCCATCACACACTCTGTGCTCAAACCATCCAGACCATTCAGACCATTCACCTTTACCTAAGAAAACACAGACTTTGAAAACCCTATACCTTTGCTTATGTCACTGTCCTTTTTTTTTAGACAGGGTCTCACTCCGTCACCCAGGCTGGAGTGCAGTGGTGCCATACACAGCTCACTGCAGCCTTGAACTCCTGAGCTCAAGCAATCCTCCTGCCTCAGCCACCCGAATAGCTGGGACCACAAGCATGTGCCACCACACCTGGCTAATTTTTAAATTTGTTTTTGTAAAGATGGGGTCTCGCCATGTTGCCCAGGCTGGTCTTGAACTCCTAGGCTCAAGCGATCTACCCACCTCGGCCTTCCAAAGTGCTGGGATTACAGGCATGAGCCACTGTACCCGACCCTTATGTCACTTTCTTAAACTGGAAGGCCCTTTCCAAAACTCTTCTCTGCCCATCAAAATCCTTCAAGGTCCAGCTCCAGTGTCATGTCTCCTAGGAAGCCTTGGTTGCTTCTTCACCATGTCTTTCGTAAGAGTTCTCATAGCACTTAAAAAGTTTCTTCTTCTTAGAGGTCACTTCAATCTTATGTGTGCTATCATCAGTTCTTTATGTGTGTATCTGTTCGCTCTGAAGGAAAGGATTCTTTCTGGCTCTTCTTCTAGGAATTCCTCAGGGACTTGCACAATGCCAGGTTCATAGAAGGTTAAATTATAGACACATATATTCGATGTGGTCTGTGGTCCTCAAATTTTGGCTAAAGTTAATCCTTGAAATAAAGCTTTGATCCTGCCTAGAAGAGATATCTTCTAAAGAAAAATAATATGTAATAACTTCTCTGTCATTGATTCAAATGTAGGGCCTGAGAGTTACATAAACATTGTGGGAGAACATTACAGTGGGAAGAAAATTGGGAGTTACTCATGCTTTTAATCCATTCTTTTATTTTCAGAATCCATTTAGGCATCTTGGTATGCTAGAGTAAGTTTTTAAAGTGTGATCTTCCAGGCCAGACGTGGTGGCCTATAATCCTGTAATCCCAGCACTTTGTAATCCTAACACTCTGTAATTCCAGCAACTGCAATCCCAGTAGCTTGTAATCGCAGCACCTGTAATCCCAGCACTTTGGAAGGCTGAGATGGGAGGACTGCTTGAGCCCAGGAGTTCAAGACCAGCCTGGGAAACATGGCAAAACCCTGTCTCTACAAAAAATGCAAAATTAGCCAGGTGTTGTGGTGTGTGCCTGTAGTCCCAGCTACTCAGGAGGCTGAGGTGGGAGGATCATTTGAACCCAGAAGGCAGAGACTGAGGTGAGCCAAAATCATACCACTGCACTCCAGCCTGGGTGGCAGGGTGAGACTGTCTCGGGGGGAAAAAAAAGGAAAAAAGAAAAGAAAAGAAAAAAAAGAAAAAAAGTGTGGTCTTTCAACTGTGAGACTCATCCTAAAACTTGAGAGGCTTAAAGACTATCCCAACATTTCACTCCTCACCTCAGTGATTCTAATTTGTGAATAAAACAAAGTAAGAAGGTCCTAAAGAACTCCTAAAGAAAAGGCCAGAAAGGCAATATAGGATGCTGAAAAAACTCACAGCTGCAGAATGATGAGACGGCAGAATAGGAACATTCATCTGGGATGACATAAAGAAATTCTCATATTTACTTACCCTCGGTTATTTTCTTTGGATTCCTGAGGGAGTAAATGAAGTACTTTGAGAAGCTGTTTATTGTGAGAGAAGTGTTGCAAAATGCTTTTAGTTTGCCACACATTTTAAGTGTGCTGAAAATGCATCTGAATTTAGAAAGCGCACAGCCTTTAAGCCAATGGTTCATGAATTTCAGTGTGAGAAACATCTGGAGAGTTTGTTTAAAATATGGAAAAAATCTTCCCACCTCCAGTGATTCTGATTCTGTCTGTAGTTGTGACATGGGTTTTGTTTGCCCATCATCCCTTTGGGAAACCACCTTTTCAAGATCCTTAACAATCCTATTTGGTTCGTGTAGTTTGGTGGGAGCTGACTCCAAGCCAGGCTAATCAGAGTCCTGCCCAGGACTAAAAAGCTTAAAAGGAAATGACACACCCTTTCCACTGCAGTTTTGAGCTGATAGTAACCATCTTTGCCACCTTTAGTGCAAGTCCATCTGAGAGATGAATGGAGCCCTGATGAAATAAACTGAGTCTCGGGATTCAATCCTGACGACAGACCCTTGGACTTTGCTGTAATATAAGCCTATACAATTTCTTAAGGTAGTGTGAGCTCAGTTTCTGCTACTTCCAACCAAGAGTCCTGACTAATATAGTATGTGTGATGTAGGGTCTTGGAAAATGCTTTTCTTCTTTGAGACAGGGTTTTACTCTGATGCTCAGGCTGGAGTGCAGTGGTGTGATCACAGCTCACTGCAGTCTCAATTTCCTGGGCTCAGGTAAATTCTCCCACCTCAGCCTCCTGAGTATTTGGAACTATAGGCGTGTGCCACCACAACTGGCAAATTTTGCACTTTCTGTAGAGACAGGGTTTCACCATATTGCTCAGGCTGGTCTTGAACTATTGGGCTCAAGCCATCCACCCGTCTCAACCTCCTAAAGTGCTAGGATTACAGGTATGAGCCACCACACCTAGCCAGAAGATACATTTTTTTTTTAACAAGCATCATAGGGGATTCTGAGGCAGTGTTTCAGACACTTTAACAAACACTGCACTAGGAGACTGAAGAAGCCTACATCTTTAAGAACAAATATCTTGCTGTAGCATCCTTACAGAATAGAAAGAGAAACAGCCTCTTGTCTTTTCTGGTGGAGTACTGGGACAGAGCACTGCACCAGGGTAGTATGAGGGACACATGTCACATATGTACTCTATGACTTCTTTGGTCCTGCATTAGTGAACTGAGTTTCTTAAAGTATTTCATGTCCCATAGAGAAACAGTCAGTGGTGAAAATGTAGTGTAATTCCTGTGTCAGTAAATGATACCACCATTAACTTGGCCTCCAAAGCCAAAAACTGAGGAGTGGGGAGTTAGCCTGAATGCCTTCTTCCTCCCTGCCATTCCTTTCTGATTCAATCAAGGTCTGCCTACAGATGCTCCTATTTCTTTTTTTCTTTTTCTTTTTTTGAAATGGAGTTTTGCTCTGTTGCCCAGGCTGGAGTGAAGTCGTGTGATCCTGGCTCACTGTTCAAGCCAATTCTCCTGCCTCAGCCTGCAGAGTGGCTGGGATTACAGGCACATGCCACCAAGCCCGGCTAATTTTTGTATTTTTAGGAGAGATGGGGTTCGCCATGTTGGCCAGAATGGTCTCGAACTCCTGACCTCAGGCGATCCACCTGCCTTGGCCTCCCAAAGTCCTAGGATTACAGGCGTGAGCCACCGTGTCTGGCCAATGCTCCTGTTTCTTTACTCCCTCCTCCTCTCCATCTCTGAAGCCACTGCCCTAATCAGGGCATCATCATCTTTTGCCTGGAAAAGGTGCAACTGCTTAACTGCCTGTCTCTCTTCCTGTTTGGTAGAACAGCCTCTAATCCATTTCCATCAGAGTCACACTAAAAATCTGCATCTGATGATGTAAGTCCCTTAACTAAAGTTCTTCAGTGGCTTCCCAACTCCTGTAGTATAAAGTCCACTATTGTAGTTCTTAGTTGGTCCCAATCTATCGCTGCTAACTTCTGACCACTTTTTAAAAGCAGCTTTAGTAGCTGGGCGTGGTAGCTTACGCCTGAAATCCCAGCACTTTGGGAGGCCAAAGCGGGCGGATCATGAGGTCAGGAGATTGAGACCATCCTGGCCAACATGCTTCAGCTCTAGCCATCACATCACTTTCCAGGTGGCAGGAAGAAGAAAGATGATGAGCCTACTCTCTCCCTTTAAGGTTATTTGCCATAGGTTGCATGTACTACTTCAATTTGCATCCAGAATTTAGACAAATAGTCACACCTATATGCAAAAAGTCTAGGAAATAAGAGTATTTCAAATACCCAACTAAAGTTCAGGGATTATATTACTATAGAAAATGAAAAAATAATTAGTGAATACTGTCTTAAGTATACAACTCACTGACTTTTAGTAAATTTACAAAGTTGTGCAACCATGACGACGATCCAATTTTAGAACATTTCCATCACTGCAAAAAGATCCCTGGTATCTGAGCCCTTCTTACTATCTACTTTCCTCTCCAGCCACTTTGATCTGCATCTGGCTCTTAGCATTCATCAGCTTGGGGGCAGCTCTGCTTTCAGAAATCACTTCCTGACCCTTCATTTAATTAAGTCCTGACCTAGGGGCTTCCACAGAACTCCCTACTTAGCTTTAGAATACTTATGCATCTATGGGGCTACCAGACTGTGCTGCTTAAGGGCGGGGTGCATGTCCTGTCCATTACTTATGGGTCCTAATAGCACCTTGCACATAGTTGATGCTTTAGGCAGCCTCCTAAGAACAACCACTCCAATCTATATGTAAACCCACTAACGTGTGGAGTCCTAATTAGGGGAAGGAAGCCAGGCTGGCGGGAGCAAGGGAAAGCAAAAAGAAAAAGCAGATAAGCTGTAAGTCTGCCTTTCTTCATGGTCCAGGACACGGCCCTTCTGTGCAATCAACTCCCCATCTTCCTGTGCCCAACTATCACCAGACACCTGCAAATTAGCTCATTGCAACTTGGCATTATCTATACTGCACAAGGCCCTCTTCAACACGCAGCATGAACACTATGCTGTAAAATCTTCAACAAGTCTTTGTCTCCTGGCAGTCCGCTTCTCTTTTGCAGGCTGTCTGTTGTCTCTCTGGCGCCATTATTTTCCTACTTTCTCTAATAAATCTGCCTTCCTCTACCCACAACTGTCTTGGTAAATTCTTTTACCCCAGCGCCACCAGCCCAGTCCTTGCTCCCCTGTGACATAATGAACTTCAGGTAAATGACAAAAATATAATCAGAATAACATTTCCTGGCCGGGCGCGGTGGCTCATGCCTGTAATCCCAGCACTTTGGGAGGCTGAGGCGGGCAGATCACGAGGTCAGGAGATTGAGACCACGGTGAAACCCCCTCTCTACTAAAAATACTGTAATCCCAGCACTCTGGGAGGCCGAGGCGGGCGGATCACGAGGTCAGGAGATTGAGACCACGGTGAAACCCCATCTCTACTAAAAATACAAAAAATTAGCTGGGTGGTGGCGGGTGCCTGTAGTCCCAGCTACTTGGGAGGCTAAGCCAGGAGAATGGCGTGAACCCGGGAGGCGGAGCTTGCAGTGAGCCGAGTTCGCGCCACTGCACTCCAGCCTGGGTGACAGAGCAAGACTCTGTCTCAAAAAAAATTAATAATAATAATAATAATAACATTTCCTGAATAAGTCAGTTAAATTTCTAAAAGATTCCATAGTTTGCGTATGATCTACAGCAGTTCTCAAAGTCCTCCCAGAGGTAGAACAAATACAAACAAGAGAATAATGCTAAAAGCATACTTAAAATAATTAAATAGGGCAGCACACGGTGGCTCATGTCTGTCATCCTAGCACTTTGGGAAGCTGAGGCAGGTGGATCACTTGAGCCCAGAAGTTCGAGACCAGCCTGGATAACATTGAGAAACCACAAAAAATAAAAAATTTAGCTGGGCCAGGTGGTGTGGGCCTGTAGTCCCAGTTGCTCCAGTGGCTGAGGTGGGAAGACTGCTTGAGCCTGGAAGGTCGAGGCTGCAGTGAACTATGACTGTGTCACTACACTGCAGCCTGGGTGACAGAGAAAGACCCTGTCTTTAAAAACCCCACAAAAAACAAAACTAAATATATTTAGTATTTTGTACTTAGATTTATTTATTTATTTATTTAATTTGAGACAGAGTCTTGCTTTGTCTCCCAGGCTGGAGTGCAGTGGCGCGATCTCGGCTCACTGCAACCTCCGCCTCCCAGGTTCAAGAGATTCTCCTGCCTCAGCCTCCCAAGTAGCTGTGATTACAGGTGCGCATCACCATGCCAGGCTAATTTTTGTATTTTTTTAATACAGATGGGGTTTCACCATGTTGGCCAGGCTGGTCTGGAACTCCTGACCTTGGGTGATCCACCCCCTTTGGCCTCTGAAAGATTAATTTTTATATAAGAGTTGAGTACGGATAAGCTGTAGCAAGTACCAAACATTTAAGAACAATTTGTTAGAGAAATATACAAAAGCAAGCTCAAAAAATTTTAAAAAATTTAAAAAGCTTGAGTGTGGTGGTACACACCTATAGTCTCAGCTACTCAGGCAGCTGAGGTGGGAAGATCACTTGAGCCCAGGAGTTCAAGGCTGCAGTGAGCCATGATTGAGAAACTGTCTTTAAAAAAAAAAAAAAAGTAAGACTGTTACTCCAAGCTGGAGTGCAGTGGCTATTCACAAGTCCAATCATCATATACGATGGCCCCAAACTCCTGGCCTCCAGTGATTCTCCTGCCTCAGCCTCCTGAGTAGCTAGGACTACAGGCGCGTGCCACCACGCCCAGCTTTTAAAAAAATCCGCATTCTTTTTTTTCTCTGAATGGGTAAAAGTCTTCCATTATTTGATTTAGTTCAGTTTAGAGAACACAATAAGCACTACATCAAGATATTATGTGAGAACCATTCACTTAAAAGAATATTTTTCAAATAGTTTAAAGCAGGGAAATCTCTTCTTAAATAAAATAATTGCCCAGAATCACAATAGAGAAAGCAGATAAAAAGAAGCGCTGCTCTGGTTAAAGTGGGGTGGGGGCATGGAACTTTATTCTGAAGCCTTCCTGCCCCATCCGTAGGCATCTTTGTGGAACTTTCCAGGGTGC
Organism: Homo sapiens; assembly: GCF_000001405.40. NCBI lineage: Eukaryota > Metazoa > Chordata > Mammalia > Primates > Hominidae > Homo > Homo sapiens. The sequence goes on from NW_025791812.1 coordinate 46,262, forward strand.
CTCCAAATGTGAAAAACACTAATCGAAAAAACCGTCTTTACACCTACTATGTACCCACAAAAATAAACAAAAAACCCATCCTGTTTGATCCTCTCTCTGATTCCATTCTTCTTTATGTATGCGTATCTACTTTTTAAATGTATATATTTATTGCCTTATTTTTAGGCAAAATCATTCTCAAGTCAGTTGCAGACATTATGACACTTTACCTCTAAATAACTTTAGTATCTTATCTCTTAAGAATAAGGACATCCTTCTGCATAACCACAGTATTTCACACCTAAGAAAATTACACTAATTTTTTTTGTTTGTTTGTCTGAGACAGAGTCTTACTCTGTCACCCAGGCTGGAGTGCAGTGGTGTGATCTTGGCTCATTATAACCTCCTCCTCCTGGGTTCAAGAGATTCTCCTGCCTCAGCCTCCCAAGTAGCTGGGATTAGAGGCATCTGCCACCATGCCCGGGGGTAAATTTTGTATTTTTAGTAGAGATGAGGTTTCACCATGTTGGCCAGGCTGGTCTTGAACTCCTGGCCTTAAGTAATCTGCCCACTTCTGCCTCCCAAAGTGCTGGAATTACAGGTGTCAGCCATTGTGCCTAGCCAGAAAATTACACCAATTTAATATTCTAGTATAGAGTCCATATTTAAATTTTCTCCAAGCTTTCTTTTATAGCTTTTGTTTTTGAACCAGGATCCAATCAAGGTCACGCAGTGCGTTTGGGTATGTTTTTGAATATCTTTTTATCTAGGACAGTTCCCTCACCACCAGTTTTACTTCCATGATGTTAATTTTTTTGAAGAGTCCAGTTCAATTATCTTACAGAATGTTCTTCATTTGGGATTTGTGGGATTCTTTTCTGATGATTATGCATTATGTTCTGATTTATATCACCAGCTTTATGTATACTGTGTCTTCTCCACAAGACAATCATTAGATTTTTGAGGGCAACCATGTTTCACAATACCCAGAGCTGTGTCACATAATCCAATTTAATCCAGAGGCTGTACGGGGTTCTGTTACCTGTTATACGGCACTGGATGACACAGAAGGAAGCTGAGCACTATATCTGTGTACTTGGGTCTGGATATAAATAAACTCACGGTATTTATGATTTGTTGGCGGACTCTAGGCTGGCTGATTATGGATAACTGGGCACAGATAACTCCCATAATTTCTGGCACCTGAAGAGGAAAAAGAAATTACTAAGACTGTAATCCTATAGGACACTGATGGTTACTGAGGATACTGTGGCCATTTCTGAAAGGTCTTGGGGGGGTGACTTTTTTTTAAAGACAGGGTCTTGCTCTGTTGCCCAGCCTGGAATGCAGCGGTGCAAACATAGCTCACTGCAGCCTTGAACCCCTGGCCTCAAATGATCCTCCCACCTCAGCCTCCTGAGTAGCTGGGACTACAGGCACACACCACCACACCCAGGTCATTGTTGTATTTTTTTGTAGAGACAAGATCTCTCTATGTTGCCCAGACTGGTCTTGAATTCCTGGGCTCAAGCGATCCTCCTGCTTGGCCTCCCAAAGTGCTGGAATTACAGGTATAAGCCACTGCGCCTGACCCCTAGGGGGTGACTTTTAAACAAACTGTTTATTATTTTTTGAAGTTTATGATTAAAACTACTTAAAATATATCTGTATGTGTGTATACACATATGAAGGATTTGGAAAGATTTATAATCAAAGCTGTCAATACTGTGTTTTTGAGGGACAGAGTATTAGATTTTTTTGCTTCTATATTTTTTCTAATTTTTCCTCAATAATTGATGTATTGATTTTATAACAAGACAAACTAATAAAAGTGTTGCAAGGAAGCTGGGCTTTTTTCCACTGTGACTCTGAGAATGGCAGTGGAGTCCTTACCTATCTTCTTTCCAGAGATGTCCATCAGGCTTAGGTAAGGGAAATAGGAGCCACTGGGCTTTGGTCTATTTCTCTGCTTGGACCGCTCTTCCCACCCACAGACGCATGGGTTCCTGTCTCTGTGGAAATGTCAGCTTCTCAGAGAGGCACACCTCAACCACTTAATATAAAATGGCCATCATCAGCACCAGTAGGCTGGGCATGGTGGCTCATAGCAGTAATCCCAGCACTTTGGGAGGCTGCGGCAGGCGGATCACTTGAGGTCAGGAGTTCAAGACCTGCCTTGCCAACATGGTGAAACCCCATCTCTGCTAAAAATACAAAAAATTAGCTTGGTGTCATGGCAGGCGCCTGTAATCCCATCTACTTGGGAGGCTGAGGTGGAAGAATCACAGCAACCTGGGAGGCGGAGGTTGCAGGGAGCAAGACTGCACCACTGCACTCAAGCCTGAGCAACAGAGCAAAATGCTGTCTCCAAAAACAAATAAACAAAATAATAATAATAATAATAATAATGATAATAATTCTGGCTAACAAACACAAGGGTAAATTTACCGGCGTTTTGCGGAAAGATTTTCTTCCCTGAATCAAGACATAAAAAGGAAGGCAACATCTTTCTTCTTCTTGGACTTAGTCTACTCCACTCAGAAAGTCCAAAATTGCTCTGACTACCTTATGACCACATGAACAGACAAGGCAGAAGGATGAAGAAACCCCTGGGTCTTCAATAACACTGTTGAATCACTGAATCAATCTTGGAAAATACTCTATGTCCAGACTTGTTATTATGTGAAAGAATAAATCCTTTGGTTAAACTTCTACCTGCTGGGCTTTTTTTGCTGCTAAAAGCACCCAACTGATACAAATGCCCATCTCACCTGCTCTTATCGTGTTATTCTTTTTGCATCTTTGTTATTTTAATAGGTTAAAAAAAGGGTGCTCATCATTTGTTGTTGTTGTTTTTAATTTGTTTTATTTGTTGTTGTTTTTTGAGACAAGATCTCCCTCTGTCGCCCAGGCTGGAATGTAAAGGCATGATCATGGCTCCCTGCAGCCTTGTCTTACTGGGCTCAAGCAACCCTCCTGCCTCAGCTTCCCAAGTAGCTGGGAACACAGGTGTGTGCCACCATGCCTGGCTAATTTAAAAAAATTTTTTTGTAGAGATGGGGTCTCACTATGTTGCCCAGGCTGGTCTTGAACTCCTGGGCCCAAGCAATTTGCCTGCCTCAACCTCCCAAAGTGCTGGGATTATAAGTGTGAGCCACCATACCTGGCCGGTTCTCATCATTCTTAAATTATTTTTTATTTGTACCCAACTACAACATCCAGTGGTATTTCAAGCTTCTTTCCTCCCTATTCCCCAGGTCTGTTCTTCAGAGAGAACTACTTTTATCCCTTTTGTCTCTTCCAGCATGTCCTTCTCTATTTCTAAATAACATAACTATATAGTTATTTCTTAATGTATTAATTTTAGATATATTTAGATAAATTCTCTTAATTTTGATTTGTAAGTCTGCCTCCTTCTAGGGTCACTTATGGCTTTTTATTTACTTTTATTTATTTATTTTGAGGCAGCTTGTCGCCCAAGCTGGAGGGCAGTGACGCGATCTCAGCTCACTGCAGCCTCCGCTTCCTGGGTTAAAGCAATTCTCTTGCCTCAGCCATCCAAATAGCTGGCAATGCAGGTGTGCACCACCATGCCTGGCTAATTTTTGTATTTTAAGTAGAGACAGGGTTAAGCTATGTTGCCGAGGCTGGTCTCAAACTCTTGAGCTCAAGCCATCTGCCCACCTTTGCCTCCCAAAGTACTGGGATTACAGGCGTGAGCCACTGCGCCTGACCACTTACAGCTTTTTAAATCTTGATACCTTTAACCCATCTGGATGAGTATCTAAATTAAAGTTATTCTCATATGTGTTAGTTATATCTCCCCAGAAAAACTCTACTCTTCTAGAAAATATGGACCGCATCTTTTTTTTTTTTTTTGAGATGGAGTCTCGCCCTGTCGCCCAGGCTGGAGTGCAGTGGTGCGATCTTGGCTCACTGCAACCTCCACCTCCAAGGTTCAAGCGATTCTCCTGCCACAGCCTCCCAAGTAGCTGGGACTACAGGCACGCGCCACCACGCCCAGCTACTTTTTGTATTTTTAGTTGAGACGGGGTTTCACCATGTTGGCCAGGATGGTCTCGATTTCTTGACCTCATGATCCACCCGCCTCAGCCTCCCAAAGTGCTGGGATTACAGGCGCGAGCCACCGTGCCTGGTCATAGACCACATCTTAGATTAAAAAAAAAAAAGTCTCCCTCCCTGGTTACATACACAGTAGTTGTTTGGTGTATGTTTATAGAGTGGATATTTATGACTAAACAGACTAAGGTTTGACCCTGTACTCATGAGTAGTCGTTCTCAGCTGAGAAGGACAAGCAGAGACTTCAATAGCTGCAGGGATGAAGAGGTTCTACTGGCTTTTTGAACCCAGGAAATTGCCACTGAAAGTTTACCTTCTCAAATTGGGACTCTGTATTTTTTGCCAAAGTTAGCAGTAATTCTCCTGCTGATCGCTGGATGCAGGGATGTTTCAGGGTTTTCAGGGTATCAAATGTAGTCATTATAAACTGGCAGAGCTCATTTGAATCAAGAAAACCTTCAAAGACCTGAAATGATGTAGGAAAATGAACTTCCAAGAAATAGGGAAATATGGTATGATAGAAAGTGTCCTGAACAAGGACTTGAGTCTAAGTTAACAATCAGAGAAGTGGACAAAGATGTACAAGGCTGTTTTATTTGAGTCTTGTGGTTTTGTTTTGTTTTTGGAGATAGCATCTTACTCTGTCATCCAGGTAGGGGCACAATCACGGCTCACTGTAGCCTCAACCTCTTGGGCTCAAGTGATCCTCCTGCCTCAGCCTTCTGAGTAGCTGAGGCTACAGGCACCTGCTACTACACTCTGATAATTTTTAAAATTTTTTGTGAAGTCAGGGGTCTCACTATGTTGCCCAGGCTGGCTGTGAACTCTTGGCTCAAGTAATCCTTCTGCCTCAGCCTCCCAAAGTGTCAGGATTATAGGTGCAAGCCATGCACCCAGCCCAGTCTTGTTTACCATGGTAAAAAGGTGGAAGCAATCCAAATGTCCACTGCTAGCATCTGTGCATGGCCTTTTGCTGCTCTGACACTGAGGCTGGAGTGCAGTGGTGCGATCACAGCTCACTGCAGCCTGGACCTCCCAGGCTGAAGTCATCCTCCCACTTCAGCTTCCTGAGTAGCTAGGACTACAGGCGTGCACCACCACAGCCAGCTAATTTTTTTATTTGTGGAGATGAGGTCTCGCTATGTTGCCCAGGATGGTCTCGAATCCTAGGCTCAAGTGATCCTTCCGCCTCAGCCAACCAAAGTGCTGGGATGACAGGGGTGAGCCACTGCATCCAGCCTGCTGCTCTTACATTTAGAAAGAAGCTTTATTGACCAGGTGCAGTGGCTCATGCCTGTAATACCAGTTGTTTGGGACCCTAAAGCGGGAGAAATACTTGAGCCCACGACTTGAGACTAGCCACTTGGCCAACATGGAGAAACACTGTCTCTACTAAAAATACAAAAATTAGCTGGGCGTGGTGGTGCTTGCCTGTAATCCCAGCTACCTGGGAGGCTGCGGGAGGAGAATTGCTTGAATCTGGGAGGCGGAGGTTGCGGTGAGACGAGATCGTGCCACTACACTCCAGCCTGGGCGACAGAGCAAGACTCCGTCTCAAAAAAAAAAAAAAAAAAAAAAAAAAAAGAAGCCTGGCATGTGGCTCATGTCTATAATCCCACCACTTTGGTTGGGAGGCCAAGGCAGGTGGATCACCTGAGGTCAGAGTTCAAAATCAGCCTGACCAACATGGAGAAACCCCATCTCTACTAAAAATACAAAATTAGCCGGGTGTAGTGGCACATGCCTATAATCCCAGCTACTCAAGAGGCTGAGGCAGGAGAATTGCTTGAACCCAGGAGGCGGAGGTTGCAGTGAGCCAAGATTGCGCCATTGCATTCCAGCCTGGGCAACAAGAGCGAAACTCTGTCTCAAAGAAACAGCCCCCCCAAACAAAACAAAACAAAACAAAACAAAACAAAACAAAAAGAAAAGGAAAGAAAAGAAAAAGAAAGAAGCTTTATTATGAGATCTTCAGAAAGAGTCATACTTTTATACGATAGGACTTAAAAAAAGGCCCTAATGTTACACAGCTGACAGGTTCCCAGGCATAATTAAAATGCCTTGTCAGGAGACAACATACTAAAAGAATGTGTCATTCTGTTTCTCATTGCATTTGGTAGTAAAGTCCTTCACATGATTATAATAGGTACAATCTACTGGGCACTTACTATGTGACAAGCATTTAGCAAAGCATTTTCCATACGGTATCTCCTTTAACAACGACTGAATTGTAAACAGTATAAATTGTAAAAAAGAAATTGTAAAAACTGTCCCAATTTTTACAGATCTCCATCGCACAGATGAGAAAACTGATGTGCAGAGAGATGAAATTACTTGGTACCTTTCACCCTACATGAGTAAGATCTGTGGGTTTTCTTTATTTTCCCCTATTCCCTAGCATACCTGGTACCTGGCAGATGTATAAGTATTTATTGAATAATGAATAACTACATTAATTTAAAAAGTCTGGCTTGTTGGATCAACCATACTCTCTTGCAGCTCCTTTTTGTGACCAGCATTTACATTTGCAAGAGACTCGCAATTATGAATAGTAGGAGCAGAGCTGGTATGAAGTGAAGTCCAGGGATACTGGCCTCAATGGCAGGTTGACCTTAACCCCCAAACTAAGAAGGCAAGGCATATATGGGCCAGGAACATGGTGCCTTGTCTCCAAACTACGGAACGTTTAGAGACCACGTTTCCTGGGCAATTGTGTATGGTTTTGTTTTATAAGAAACTACCAGAACTTTTTCCAAAGTGGTTTTTACTGTTTTACGTTTCCATGAATAAATGGCAGGAGACTTCTGGTTGTTCCCCATCCTTGCCAACACTTCTGGCTGTGGTTATAATTTTAGCCATTCTTATTACCTGGGCAATTCTGAAGGGACAGTTGTAGAAGCATTTAGCGGCAGAGCTGTGGAGCTCCAGGAATTCTCGACATTTTGTCAATGCTCTTTTCAAGTTTTGCTGATCTTTCTTGTCATGAGTGATATCTGAAAAGAAAATATAAAATATTAATACTTTCTGGCTTCTTTTTTTCTTCTTGATTTTACAGGTCTGGTTGATCTTCAGTTTAAAGTGGATTCCAAGATCTCACTCTTCTTTTTCACTTGAACAAAAATGCCTGGGGGAGGGAGTGTTTGTTCATCTGAAGGCTGATTTATTTCTCTTTCCTTCTAGAACAATACATAAAAAGAACCAAAAGAAAAAACAAAGAGGAGGTCGAGGCAGATGGATCACTTGAAGTCAAGATTTCGAGACAAACCTGGCCAACATGGCGATACCGAAAAATAAAAAAATTAGCCAAGCATGGTGGCGCACTCCTGTAGTCCCAACTACTTGGGAGGCTGAGGTGGGAGGATCACTTGAACCCAAGAGGTGGAGCTTGCAGTGAACCGAGATCACGCCACTGCACTCCAGCCTGGGTGACAGAGTTAAGACCCTGTCTTTTCTTTTTTAAATTTTTTTTTTGAGGCAGAGTTTCACTCTTATCACCCAGGCTGGAGTGCAATGGCGCGATCTCAGCTCACCGCAACCTCTGCCTCCTGGAGGTGATTCTCCTGCCTCAGCCTCCTGAGTAGCTGGGATTACAGGCATGCGCCACCATGCCCAGCTAATTTTGTATTTTTAGTAGAGATGGGGTTTCTCCATTTTGGTTCAGACTGGCCTCGAACTCCTGACCTCAGGTGATCCACCCACCTCAGCCTCCCCCAGTGCTGGGATTACAGGCATGAGCCACCATGCCCAGCCAACCCTGTCTTTAAAAAGAAGAAGAAGAAGAAAAAAGCAAAAGCAAAGAGCTTTTTGTAAGACCAGAGCATTTGAGTGATTTGTGAGTACAACCAAAGCATGCTACCTTATTTCCCCACTGGTGAGGAACTGTGAGGGGTCTCCCTATGAAGCTTAGGTTCCCAGAAAAAATTGCCCAACTCTATACTGTGTATGATAATTCTGATATCAGAACTCTTCATCATGTGTCAAGTATGCCAATGCTCCTTGTAGTGTCTTGTTTTTCTCATGTTTCATTGTGACCTAATATTTGCTGGAAATTCGTAGATGGAAAATTTATCTTTGAGCCCTTGGCTGAGGATACTTTCTCTCCAACTAGAAAATAAGTTCCCTGGGGGAAGGTATCTTGTTTGTCTTGATTACTGATGCATCACTAGAACAATAAATGCTTCATAACTATTTGCTGAATCAATAATCAACGTATTTCTTTGGCTGTATACCTGGTAGAGATTGCTCATACTGTGCCCAATGACAGGACAGTTGCTTTGGGAAGCATGGAGCTTCCTCATCCATGTGAAGCGCAGACTGAGGCAGAGGAACTACGGTTGTGTGTAGCTTAACAACAGGGATATGTTTTGAGAAATGCACTGTTAGGCTATTGCGTCACTGCATGAACATCACATAGAGAGTACCTTCTTTTTTTTTTTTTAAGACAGAGTCTCTCACTCTGTCACCCAGGCTGGAGTGCAGTGGCGTGATCTCAGCTCACTGCAACCTCCACCTCTCACGTTTAAGCGATTCTCCTGCCTCAGCCTCCTGGGTAGCTGGGACTATAGGCACGCGCCATCACGCCAGGCTAATTTTTGTATTTTTAGTAGAGATGGGGTTTTGCCCTGTTGGCCAGGCTGGTCTTGAATTCCTGACCTCAGGTGATGGACCCTCCTTGGCCTCCCAAAGTGCTGGGATTACAGGCATGAGCCACTGTGCCTGGCCTAATTTTTTTTTTTTTTACATTCTAAAGTGTTTTTGTTAAAAACTAAGACAAAAAACACACACTAGCCTAGGCCTACACAAGATCAGGATAATCAATACCACTGTCTTCCATCTCCACATCCTGCCCCACTGGAAGGTATTCAGGGCAATAACACGCATGGAACTGTCATCTCCTATGATAACAATGCCTTCTTTAGGAATACCTCCTGAAGGGCCTGCCTGGGGATGTTTCACAGCTAACTGTTTTTTTAATAAGTAGAAGGAGTCATGCTAAACTAATGATAAAATGTATAGTAAATAAATGAACCAGTAACATAGTTATTTATTATCATTACCAAGGATATATACTGTACCTAATTGTAGGTGCTATACTTTTATATGACTGGCAGTGCAGTAGGTTTGTTTACACCAGTATCACCACAAACATGAATAATGCATTGTACTGTAATGTTATGATGGCTACAATGTCACTAGGTGATAGAAAACTTTCAGCTCAGCTGGGTACGGTGGTGGACACCTGTAGTCCCTGCACTTTAGGAGGCTGAGGTAGGAGGACTGCTTGAGTTCAGGAGTTGGAGACCAGCCTGGGCAACATAGTGAGACTTCGTTTCTTTTTATTCTTTTTTCTTTCTTTTTTTTTTTTCTTTTTGAGATGGAGTCTTGCTCTGTCACCAGGCTGGAGTACCGTGGTGTGATCTTGGCTCACTGCAACCTCTGCCTCCCAGGTTCAAGCGATTCTCCTGCCTCAGCACCCCAAGTAGCTGGGACTACAGGCATGCCACCACGCTCAGCTAATTTTTGTATTTTTAGTAGAGACGGGGTTTCACCAGGTTGGCCAGGATGGTCTCAATCTCTTGACATCGTGATCCACCCGCCTCGGCCTCCCAAAGTGCTGGGATTACAGGTGTGAGCCACTGTGCCAAGTCGAGACTTCCTTAAAAAAAAAAAATAATAAGGCTGGGCGTGGTGGTTCACGCCTGTAATCCTACCACTTTGGGATGCTGAGGCGGGCAGATCACTTGAGATCAGGAATTCGGGACCAGCCTGGCCAACATTAAGTAACATTTAGTAGGGATGGTGAAACCCCATCTCTACTAAAAATACAAAAATTGGCTGGGTGTGGTGGCGGCTGCCTGTAATCCCAGCTACTCAGGAGGCTGAGGCACGAGAACTGCTTGAACCTGGGAGGTGGAGGGTGCAGTGAGCCAAGATCACACCACTGCACTCCAGCCTGGGTGACAGAGCGAGACTCCATCTCAAAATAAAATAAAATAAAATAAAAAGAAAAATTTCAGCTCCATTCTAATCTTACGTGACCCATACATGATCAGTTGTTGACTGAAATGTCATTATATGGTGCATGACTGTACTTGGTAGGGATGGAGTAGACTGAGATTCAAACACTGGGGGAATGCTGGGTTAGATATCCTCTAAAGTCCCTTCTAACCATGGAAGTCAGTGATTCATTCCTTGACCACACTGGCCCTCTCTCTATTTTTCAAACTCCTCAAGCTCATGCCTACCCAGGTTCCTTTCCTTAGCCATTCCTTCTGCCTAATATACTCTTCTTACCTCTTCAGGTGGCAAACTGCTCTTTATTCTCTGGATTACCTTTCCTGAACCCAGCAACTAGATTTGATTCTTACTCATGGCCCCTGTAATTTCCCTTCATAAGGACATTAATTTTCCTGCAGCCTCGACCTCCTGGGCTCAAGCGATTCTCCCACTTTCGTCTCCTGAGTAGTTGAGATTATAGGCATACTCCACCATGCCAGCTAATTTTTAAAATTTTCTGTAGAGAAGGGGTTTTCCCTGTTGCCCAGGCTGGCCTTGAACTCCTGGGCCCACGCAGTCCTCCCGGCTTGGCCTGGCAAAATGCTATGAACATAGGAGTGAGCCACTGCGCCCAGCCTCACTCCTACTTCTGACCAAACTAATCACTCTAGTTTGTCCACAGGGCCACATGTTTAGCCACTCCCTGGCTATGCAGATGGATGGCAATGATGGGTCTGATCTAGTGTTAGGATTCTAATTATTAAGTCAGTGTTGCTTCATCTCTGCCTATGGACCATGTATCCTTCTCTTTAGGAACTACTGTAAAAGGCCTTTCCAGAACATGGGGACTGAATGCGTAAGGAGGGCAGGTACTTATGTTGTGCTGGAGAATTCACTCAGGACCTCGCGGCCTTCAGCAGTGCCTTACACTTCAGCCTCAGGGTGATATGCAGCAGGGAGTGAATGCCCTCTGCAGCCTCCTCAGCCACCTTTTCCTGTGGGTCCCCACAGAGCAGTGCCATCAGAGCCACTAGGTGTCCAAGTCTTTGGAATCGCAGTGGAAGCTTGAGAAAGAAAAAGAAAAATGTCATTAGAATACACGTGCATTTAGTGCCTTCGATTTGAGTTGTTGAGAAGTAATCCCAATTCTACTCTCAACTCAAGAAGTTTAAGGGTCACAATCAGCCTGTGGATCTCTGTAGGGTTCATATTTAACACAGGTAGACACAGTATAGTCAGTAGATGGTGTTATTAAGAAATAGGGAAATGCTAACCTAAGGAAACAATCTGAAAAACGAAAAAGCTTTGTGCATAAAGATGTTAATTCCAGCACTGTTTTTATTTTTATTTTTTAATTTTAATTTTTGGGAGTACATAGTAGGTCTATATATTTGTGGGGTATACAGATGTTTTGATACAGGCATGCAATGCATAGTAATCACATCATGTAAAATGGAGTATCCACCCCCTCAAGCATTTATCCTTTGTGTTATAAACAGTCCAATTATATTCTTTTAGTTATTTTAATAATTTTTTTTTTTGAAACAGAGTTTTGCCCTTTTCACTCAGGCTGGAGTGCAATGGCACAATCTCAGCTCACTGCAACCTCTGCCTCCCCGGTTCAAGCGATTCTCCTGCCTCAGCCTCCCGAGTAGCTGGAATTACAGGTGTGAGCCACCACACCCAGCTGATTTTTGTATCTTTAGTAGAGATGGGGTTTCGCTGTGTTGGCCAGGCTGGTCTCAAACTCCTGACCTCAAGTGATCCACCCACCTCAGCTTCCCAAATTACAGGCCTGAGCCACTGCAGCTGGCCAATAAACGTACATTTAATATTACTAAATAAAAATGTATTAAAATTTTAATATTATTTAAAAATTACTAATGCACAATAGTCACCCTGTTGTGCTATAAAATATTAGGTCTTATTCATTCTAACAATGTTTTTGGTACCTATTAACCATGCCCACCTCTCCCCAATCCTGCCACGACCCTTCCCAGCCTCTGATAACTATCCTTCCATTCTCTATCTCCATGAGTTAAACTGTTTTGATTTTCAGGTCCCACAATATGTGAAAACATGTGATGTTTGTCTTTCTATGCCTGGCACATTTCACTTAGCATAATGACCTCCAGTTCCATCCATGTTGTTGCAAATGACAGGATCTCATTCCTTTTATGGCTGAATAGTACTTCATTGTGTATAAGAACCACATTTTCTTTATCCATTCATCTGTTGGTGGACACTTAGGCTGCTTCCAAACCTTGGCTATGGTGAAGAGTGTCGCAACAAACAAGGGAGTGCAGATATCGCTTCCATATACTGATTTCCTTTCTTTGGGGTATAGACCCAGCGGTGGTCTAAGGACCGCGCTTTGGAAATAATTGCATGACAGTAGTAAAAGGAATTATCCTACAGCCAGTCTATGAACACAACCATTAAAAATCAAGTATCTAAGGAATTTATAATGTGCTATTCTGCTAAGTAAAAAAGCTGAATGTGGCCAGGTGCAGTGGCTCATGCCAGTAATCCCAGCACTTTGGGAGGCTGAGGCGGGTGGATCACCTGAGGTCAGGGATTCGAGACCAGCCTGCCTGGCCAACATGGCAAAACCCCATCTCTACTAAAAGTATGAAAATCAGCCAGGTGTGGTGGTGGGCACCTGTAATCCCAGCTACTCAGGAGGTTGAGGAAGGAGAATCGCTTGAACCTGGGAGGTGCAGGTTGTAGTAAGCTGAGATCGTGCCACTGCACTCCAGCCTGGGTGACGAGAGTGAGACTCCATTTCAAAATAAATAAATAAATACATAAATACATACATACATACATACATAAAATAAAAAATAAAAATAAGCTGAACGCAAAGTTGAGATATAGCACTTAATTCTATTTATAAAATTCATTTTTTAATATCCTGCTTGATTATGGAAAAAAAATCCATGTAATGTAGCTGGAAAAATCATACCAGAAAAAGAAATATAACTTTAAATAAATACTGGAGAAAACTGGATAAATTAAAAAATTGGCTGGGCGCGGTGGTTCATGCCTATAACCCCAGCACTTTGGGAGGCCAAGGCGGACATATCATTTGAGGTCAGGAGTTCAAGACCAGCCTGGCCAACATGGTGAAACCCCGTCTCTACTAAAAACACAAAAAAATTAGCTGGGCGTGGTGGCACATGCCTGTAATCCCAGCTACTCGGGAGGCTGAGGCAGGAGAATTGCTTGAACCTGGTAGGCGGAGGTTGCAGTCAGCCGAGATTGCACCACTGTACTCCAGCCGGGGCAACAGAATGAGACTCCATTTCAAAATAAATAAATAAATAAAAATTAAAAAAATTAAAAATAATAAAAAAACATTAAGGTAGAAAAGATAAATGAAGTTAAGAATTTGGTTGGCGCTCTCCCTCTCCTTCATCTCCGTCTCCCGCTTTCCACGGTCTCCCCCTCTCCCTCGTCTCCGTCTCCCACTTTCCACGGTCTCCCTCTGTTGCCGAGGCTGGACTGTACTGCCGCGATCTCGGCTCACTGCAACCTTCCTGCCTGATTCTCCTGCCTCAGCCTGCCGAGTGCCTGGGATTGCAGGCACGCGCCGCCACGCCTGACTGGTTTTTGTGTTTTTTGGTGGAGACGGGGTTTCGCCATGTTGGCCGGGCTGGTCTCCAGCTCCTGACCTCGAGTGATCTGCCCGCCTCGGCCTCCCGAGGTGCCGGGATTGCAGACGGAGTCTCGCTCACTCAGTGCTCAATGTTGCCCAGGCTGGAGTGCAGTGGCGTGATCTCGGCTCGCTACAACCCCCACCTCCCAGCCACCTGCCTTGGCCTCCCGAAGTGCTGAGATTGCAGCCTCTGCCCGGCCGCCACCCTGTCTAGGAAGTGAGGAGCGTCTCTGCCTGGCTGCCCATCGTCTGGGATGTGAGGAGCCCCTCTGCCCGGCCGCCCAGTCTGGGAAGTGAGGAGCGCCTCTTCCCGGCCACCACCCCGTCTAGGAAGTGAGGAGCGTCTCTGCCTGGCCGCCCATCGTCTGGGATGTGAGGAGCCCCTCTGCCCAGCCACCCAGTCTGGGAAGTGAGGAGTGCCTCTTCCTGGCCGTCATCCCGTCTAGGAAGTGAGGAGCGTCTCTGCCTGGCCGCCCATCGTCTGGGATGTGGGGAGCGCCTCTGCCCGGCCGCCACCCTGTCTGAGAGGTGAGGAGCGCCTCTGCCCGGCCGCGACCCCGTCTGGGAACTGAGGAGCGCCTCTGCCCGGCCGCCCCATCCAAGAAGTGAGGAGCCCCTCTGCCCAGACGCCCCGTCCGAGAGGTGGGGGGCGCCCCCGCCCGGCAGCCGCCCCGTCTGGGAGGTGGGGGGCGCCCCCGCCCGGCAGCCGCCCTGTCCGGGAGGTGGGGGGTGCCCCCGCCTGGCAGCCGCCCCGTCTGGGGGGTGGTGGGCCCCTCTGCCCGGCTGCCACGTCTGGGAAGTGAGAAGTCCCTCTGCCCAGCCGCCACCCCGTCTGGGAGGTGTACCCAACAGCTCATTGAGAACGGCCACGAGAACGATGGCGGTTTTGTTGAATAGAAAAGGGGGAAATGTGGGGAAAAGAAAGAGAGATCAGATTGTTACTGTGTCTGTGTAGAAAGAAGTAGACATAGGAGACTCCATTTTGTTCTGTACTAAGAAAAATTCTTCTGCCTTGGGATGCTGTTAATCTATAACCTTACCCCCAACCCCGTGCTCTCTGAAACATGTGCTGTGTCAACTCAGGGTTAAATGGATTAAGGGCGGTGCAAGATGTGCTTTGTTAAACAGATGCTTGAAGGCAGCATGCAAAAAAAAAAAAAAAAAAAGAATTTGGTTGGCATGCAGAATGCATAATCATCATTTGCTTGAGGCAGGCCACAGAGCAAGGCTCTGAACTCTCTCATGGCTAATGTAGAGGTGCACACAATGATCCATATAACATGATTCACGCTGTCCTTAAGATAAGAAGCAACTAGCCACGTGGAGGAAGCATAGCTTTTCCTAGGGTTGAGATGGAAAGAAATTTCTTCCATGGCTCTACAGAAATAAGACACAGAAATATTGTGAACAGCATTTACAACCTATTTACAGTAAACACGTAGCAACATGCAAAGCTATGTAACATCTTTAATTCACTGATATAACCTTCATTCATTCAATCAACCAATAAATACAGTGTCTGTTATATGCCAGGAACTATGACTGGCACTGGGGATATAAGCAGTCAACAAAAGAGAATATCCCTGCTTGTGGAGGTGATGATCTAGTTGGGGAAACACAAAGTAAACAAAATAAATATGTAAAATGTATTATGTATCAAATGATGATAAATGTCATGATTAACAAAAATTCAGGGGAAAGGGATAAGAATTATTATTTTAGGATGGTCAGGGAAGGCCTCACTAATATTGAAATGAGAGATTGATACCTGGGAGAAGAGTATTCTGGGCAGAGAGAATGGCAAGCGCCAAGGACTGAGAAGGTATGTTTGGTGTTTCTGAGGAACCATAAGTAGGTTAGGTTGGCTGCAGCGATGTTAACGATAGGGAAAGAAATAGGAAGTAGATGAAGAATGGGCCAGAAGGTGTCGCAACCTGTAGAACATTGTGAGGACTTTGGCCGTCGGAGGGTCTTGAGCAGAGAAGGGACATGGGTTGACTCACATTTACTCAATCAATATTGAATTGAGCATCAACCACATGGCCGATTCTGTGCTAGGCAGGCACTGAGGCTACTGTGCTGAACAAGACAAGTATAATTGCAAGGCACAGTGGCTCATGTCTGTAATCCCAGCATTCTGGGAGGCAGAGGTGGGAGGATTGTTTGAGCCCAAGAGTTTGGACCACCTTGGGCAATATAGTGAGACCCCCATCTGTATAAAAAACAAAAAAATTAACCAGGCATGGTGGCACATGCCTGTAGTCCCAGCTACTCAGGAGGCTAAGGCAGGAGCATTGCTTAAGGCCAGGAGGTTGAGGCTGCAGTGAGCTGTGATTGTGCTACTGTACTCCAACTTGGGTGACAGAGCAAGACCCTGTCTCACATAAAAAAAAAAAAAAAAGACAAGCATAATCACTGGTAGAATTTACATTCTATTAGTGGGAAACAGATAACACAGCAGTAAAGAAAGAATCAAGCCAGATAACCTCTGATTCTAGACAGCCCTAGGAAGGAGAGAGTGATGAGACAGAGAGCAAGCGTAGGTCTGTCTGTGGTGAGCAGAGGCCCTTTTGAGGTCGAGACATCTGAACACAGTGCTAAAGAACCAGGAGGGGCTGGCTCTGTGCAGAGCTAGGGAAGGTCATTCCAAGCAGAGAAGGCAGCAAGTGCAAAGGCCATGAGGCAAGATGAGCCTTATGTGGGAAGAAGGAAGGTAAAGGTGGCTGCTGTGTGATAAGTCAGGGGACTTAGGTGTAGAGAGGTAGACAGACCTACATCAGACATGACCCCGTATTCTAAGATCAGTTTGGAAATCACTGGATCAAAGAAGTGACATGGGGCAAAAAAAGAAAATGAAGAAAAATAAAGAAAACACAGGGGAGAAAACAAGGAAACAAAACAAAAGCAAGAATGACATGGGTCTGAAGAGGATGACTCTGGCTATATGTAGAGAACAAATTGGAAATGGAAGCCCCCACCCCAACACACTCATGCACAAAAAAGAACTTGGAAGGTGCCAGGCGCGGTGGCTCTGCCTGTAATCCCAGAACTTTGGGAGGCCGAGGCAAGCAGATCACTTGAGGCCAAGGATTCGAGACCAGCCTGGCCAACATGGTGAAACTCCGTCTCTACTAAAACTACAAAAATTAGCCAGGCGTGGTGGCCTGCACCTGTCACTGAATGACAAACAGTTAATAAGTTTTGTTTTTTTTTTTTGAGATGGAGTCTCGCTCTGTCGCCCAGGCTGGAGTGCAGTTGCGTGATCTCGGCTCACTGAAAGCTCTGCCTCCCGGGTTCACGCCATTCTCCTACCTCAGCATCCCGAGTAGCTGGGACTACAGGCGCCCGTCACCACGCCCGGCTAATTTTTTGTATTTTTATTAGAGACGGGGATTCACCGTGTTAGCCAGGATGGTCTCCATCTCCTGACCTCGTGATCCGCCCACCTCGGCCTCCCAAAGTGCTGGGATTACAGGCGTGAGCCACCGCGCCCGGCCCTAAGTTTTATAATCATAATATTAAGAACCCCCAAACTTTATCAAGACAAAAAAGGCCACTGAAGAATTACGCTCCTAGTTTGATTACTAAATGCTTCTTCAGCATTTCCTTTTTTATTCTTTATTCTTTAGATTTCTTTGAGAATATGAAAAAAGTTAGAGACCCAGATAATATATATTTGTCAAAACTCATTGAACTGTATACTTAAATTGGATAAATTCATTGTATACAAATTATACCTCAATAAAATTGATTTAAAAAAAAACTATGGACCTTCCTCAGAAAAATCCAGAAGAGGACGGGCGTGGTGGCTCACGTCTGTAATCCCAGCACTTTGGAAAGCCAAGGAAGGAGGACCACTTGAACCTGGGAATTTGAGACCAGCCAGGGCAACATGGTGAAACCCCATCTCTACCAAAATAAATAAATAAATAAATAAAAATTAGCCAGGCGTGGTGGCGTGTGACTGTAGTCCCACCTACTTGGAAGGCTGAGGCAGGAAGATTGCCTGAGGCCAGGAGTTCAAGGCTGCAGTGAGCTATGATGGCCCCACTGCACTCCAGCCTGAGTGATGGATCAAGACCCTGCCTTGAATAATGATCATCATAATAATGAGATGCCATAGGGGAGATGATTCAGAACTGAGAAGTGAGAGAGAGAAAGAGAAATGTGAGGATCTGAAGAGGTGCCATAGTACCACTCTCTTTGAGTTGCTGGGAGATATTGAAGTTGATTTATTTAAATTTGCCTGCTGTACTCAAATATAATACTATACAGAGACTAGCCACCATGGGCCTCAGGTATTTTCAGGTTATAGTTACTATATCATTATGTTCCAGCTGTTGTGTTAAGCAATGGAGATGCAAAGATTAATCAACACAGCAACTGGCCCCAAGCTGCTCAGGAGAAGAGCAGATAAGAAGACAATGCTAAGTGCTATGATAGTACATGAGCACGAAGGGGACACAGAACCAGCCTGGGGAGTTATAAAGAGGAGGAGAAATCGGCAGTGAGGGAATGGCTTTGGATCTTTCCTCCTCTGCAACTGAAGGGCCGCTCACCTTCAAGTTGAGATGTTTGGATAGGCACTTCAGAACTTGAGCCATGCTGGCCGTGGCCCGTTCCCGCTCATGGTCTTTGACTGACTGTAACCAGGGGACCAAGTGCTGTGAGAAATAAAGGGAGGCTAAATGGTTTATCAGGAAGATTTGGGATACCATCCTTATTGTGTTTAGAAAGAAATGTGGAGTGACAAGTTCCATGTTGCTACCAGATCTCAAAATACTTTGCTAAATGCTATTATAGCTCAGGTTGGAAATAAAAGTGGTAGAATGACAAGCAAGGCACAAAGACATGGGTGGTGGGTGGTTTGGTTGTTATATAGGAGCTTAGGAGCTTCTTTTCTTTTTTTTTTTTGAGATGGAGTCTTGTTCTGTTGCCCAGGCTGGAGTGCAATGGTGTGATCTTGGCTCACTGCAACCTCTGCCTCCCAAATTCAAGTGATTCTCTTGCCTCAGCCTCTCGAGTAGCTGGGACTACAGGCACTCGCCACCACGCCCAGCTAATTCTGTATTTTTGTAGAGACGGGGTTTCACCATGTTGGCCAGGCTGATCTCGAACTCCTGACCTCAGGTGATCTGCCCGCCTTGGCCTCCCAAAGTGCTGGGATTACAGGCGTGAGCCACTGTGCCTGGCCAGAGCTTATTTTCTAGACTTACTTTCTCTTCAGCCCAATTCTTCAATTAATTATTCTGTACTTCTGAATGTTTTTAGCTCTTTCAAATCTGCTTTGGAAAGAAATAAAGTTAACAACATGCTACTAATTTTAAAGTTTAACTCTGAGGACAGCCAGGTGTGGTTGCTCATGCTTGTAATCCCAGCACTGCCGGAGGGATTATACTGACTGCTTGAGCCCAGGAGTTGGAGACCAGCCTGGGCAACATGGTGAAACCCCATCTTTACAAAAAAATACAAAAATTAGCTGGGCATGGTGGCGTGTGCCTGTAGTCCCAGCTGCTCGGGAGGCTGAGGTGGGACGACTGCTTGAGCCCGGGAGGCGGAAACTGCAGTGAGCTGAAATCGCGCCACTGTACTCCAGCCTAAGTGACAGAGCGAGATCCAGTCTCAAAAAAAAGAGAAAAAGAAAGGCTTGAATTAAGCTGCCAAGGCAGGAAAGTACAAAGTACAACTGCATAAAGAGGAGAAACCCAATCTGGCTGGTATGCTAATGTACAAATAGAAGAGGAATGAGAAGTAGTATTAAGGTCAGTTAGGATGAGAATAAATGCCCATCAGAGCATTTAAGAAAATAAGCTAGAAAATAAGCTCCTGTAGCAGCCAAACCACTCGACTGCCTAGGTTTTTGTGCCTTGCTTGTCAGTTAGGACAACAATAAATGCATCATTTGGGTGCAAACGATTAATAATAGCTTAAAGCCTTATCCCTTTCTGGGATATCTGCATCTTAAAAAAAGGATAAGAAAAATAAAAATAAAATAACAACAATAAAAAAAGGGTAGGAGAGCAAGATACCTGAATGCAGTGAATGAATTCCAATGAATCAATCTCTAGTGATGGAAGAGCATATACAGGAACAGGTGCAGGTCAGAGCAGTTCGTCATTATAACCTTTGAGTATCATCTGGTAGGAAGCTGCTTATTTACTAACTCTTTTTTTGTTTTGTTTTGTTTTTGAGAAGAAGTCTCGCTCTATCGCCTAGGCTGGAGTACAGTGGCGCAATCTTGGCTCACTGCAACCTCTGCCCCCTGGGTTCAAGCAATTCTCCTGCCTCAGCCTCCCGAGTAGCTGGGACTACAGGCATGCGCCACCATGCCTGGCTAATTTTGCATTTTTAGTAGGGACAGGTTTTCACCATGTTAGCCAGGCTGGTCTTGAACTCCTGACCTCAAATGATTGATTCGCCTGCCTTGGCCTCCCAAAATGCTGGGATTACAGGCATGAGCCACCGTGCCTGGCCTTACTAACTCTTGAGGCTGACCCTTCCCTCATCACTGAATAAAACCCTTCTATACTAGTGAGGAATAATAATTTTTTTTTTTTTTTGAAATAGAGTCTTTCTCTGTCACACAGGCTGGAGTGCAGTGGTGCGATCTCTGCTCACTGCAACCTCCTCCTCCTGGGTTCAAGTGATTCTCATGCCTCAGCTTCCTGAGTAGCTGGGATTACAGGTGTGTACCACCACACCTGGCTAATTTCTGTATTTATTTATTTATTTATTTTTTAGTAGAGTCAGGGTTGTGCCATGTTGGTGAGGCTGGTCTCGAACTCCTGGCCTCAAATAATCCACCTGCCTTGGCCTGTGCTGGGATTACAGGCGTGAAACACTGCGCCCTGCCCCCAGGAATAATTTAAGGAATAATTAAGCAACTATTTAAACAATTTATTGTGACAGGGTGCAGTAGCTCATGCCTGTAATCCCAGCACTTTGGGAGGCTGAGGTGGGAGGATAACTTGAGGCCAAGAATTCGAGGCTGCAGGGAGCTATAATGGTGCCACTTCACTCCAGCCTAGGCCACAGAGCAAGACCCTGTCTCTGAAAATAAATAAACAAATAATTTATTGAAGGCCACTTATTCAATATTCACAGTAATTATTATCTCCATGTAAATGTGAAGAAATGCAACACTGAGAGAGCAAATTCCTTGCAGAATTTCTAGCGGGAGGACGTGTAACCAATGAATGGCAGAGTCAGCATTTGAACCCAAGTCTCTGACTCAAAGTTGATAGCTGATACTCTTTACTACGTTGCCTCTTACCACTGAATACTTCCACATTTTCATCTCCCACTTTCACCAGTTAATAGGAATCATTTCCCACTCTCCCTTGATATCTTGTTTACCTTAATAATGGTGTCAAGATTTTCCAAATGTGGGTCTTTTACCACCAAACTCTGGAGCATCTCAGAGAATGCCTGAAACGTCTGCCTGTAAAGACACTGAAAAGGCACAGGATCAGCAACACTCCCTGGCCCCACGTGAAGTTCCCCTAGCATGGGACACTTTGGAGGCTCTTCATGTGACCCTAAGACTTTACTCAAAGTTGCAGTACCAGTGTAAAGGTACTAGTAGGTTGTTTGTGGCATGAGGTAAAAAGGAATACATCTTCATTTCAAACAGGCGCCTCGGCACTAGAGGGATCACAGCTGACTGAGTCTTACTACATCTGGGGAACTGCTTAAGGGTCATCAAGATTCTTTAAAGTTGGCTTGTGACTCTTTCTGATATCTTCAAACAGAGGGGAATAAAGTCCTCTTGGGTAACTGCTTTACCAACCAGTTTATTCGCCACTGAAGAAGAGATCAAGGCCTGCACGTACCCTTCCCTCTGCTTGAAAGCTTTCTCTCCAGACATACCCACACCTCTTTTCTTTCAATTATCATCCCATCATGAAGGCTTTGCCTGACCACCCATGTGCCTCCCAACCACAGGGCCCTTGATCCTGCTCTTTCCCTGCTTTACATTTTCATAACACTTATTATCAGCTGACATATTATATGCATGTATCAACAGTTTGTCTCTCTGCACTAGAATGTAAGTTCCGTGAGTGGGACTGGACTGCTGTATTCCTACTGCCTATCATCATTTTTGGCATATGATGACATACGGCACATTGTGTGCTTAAATAAACGTTAAGCACACAAGCGAGTGCTCCCACCTTATTTTAAAGCCAAAAGGAAGGAAAGAATAAAGGGAAAAGGAAAGAAGACAAAATGAAGGGTTGAAAGAAGCTATCTTCTAATTTAACCACCTATTTTATTTACCAGACTTGGCTTATGGTTTTTGGCTAGTTTCAAAAAATCAAATGCACTCTCCAAAGGCCAAGATCAGCTGACCCTGTGGATGGAAAGTTACTAAAGCAAAGCATGAGTTACCTCTGTGTTGCAGGTCCCATTGGGCATGATTTCCTGTATCTGGGTAAGGGTCCTTACAGAGGGCAGAGTGATTATACTCTTGATGGTAAGACTGAACAACTCAGCTCGATCTTCAGAGCCCAACAGCAAATGGACATCTTGGTAACTAAGAAAAGACAGTTTGGGAACAGCAAGCTGGAAAGACGGTTTGATTTGATACTGATAAGCAGAGATCAACTAAAAAGGAAAGGGTAGACAGGCTAGTGTACTGTTCTGATGTGAGAAATAAATGGCATAGCTTGTCAGTCTGTTCAGATAAATCTCACAAAAGGTTAGAGGAAGTTTTCCCCCAAGAAGTTACTGGAGCAATATCCTTCCAGGCTTCCCTTCAGTTCAGCCACAGAGGGAAGCCTGCTACAGTCTAACGTGGTAAGCCACAATTTTCCAAAGCATATTCTGCTGAATGTTCATTTGGGGAATCATGGGTTGAATCTAGTTAAAAAACTTTTTAACCACAAGACTTCTCAGGGTCTTTGATCAGCTTAATCACTACAATATAAATCTCTGAGAGGTAGACAATAGGCAGCCCTTCCAAATTTCTTAGAAGCCGGAACTCTAATGTCATGAGACATATATGGGAGTAACTTCCTGCCAAATATACTTTGGACAAAACTGAACTCCAAAGAGATTCCAATAAAGTCTTTCAGATATGGATAGTAGCATATATGAAATCAAAGTGCTTACTCAAAAACACGGATTTGGCTTCCTCTTTTCTACATAAACAGTTTTCAAAAGTTAAAAATATGGATCATGGCCAGGCGCAGTGGCTCACGCCTGTAATCCCAGCACTTTTGGAGGGTGAGGTGGGTGGATCACTTGAGGTCAGGAATTTGAGACGAGCCTGGCCAACATGGCGAAACCCCGTCTCTACTAAAAATACAAAAATTAGCCAGGCATGGTAGTGCACGCCTGTAATCCCAGCTACTCGGGAGGCTGAGTGAGGCAGGAGAATTGCTTGAACCCAGGAGGCAGAGGTTGCAGCGAGTCAAGATTGTGCCACTGCACTCCAGCCTGGGGGACAGAGCGAGACTCCATTGAAATGGACTCCATTGAAAATTTTTTTTTTTGAAACAAAAAAAAAAAAAAAAAAAGGGTCATGTCAGTTGGACCTGGCATTGGCCCTGAGAGGAACCAGGATGCCCGTGTAAGGGGCGTGTGGGCATCACCTGAGATCAGCGATGGTGACAAAGACCTCCTGGCGCATGGAACTGGACAGAGAATGCGGGCGTTCCTCTTGTACCAGTACCTGCAATGAGAGGGAAAGAACTTGAGAGTTGAGAAAGTACCCATTCATTAGGCCAGTGACGATCAGAGACTGGGTGGCCAGCAAGAACCACAAAAGGTCCTTCAGCCAGCCCTGCTCTTAGGCCCCAGATGCCTGGCAGCAGGACAGTGACAGGGATAGGGGTTTATTCTCTTGAGCCAGACCCCAGACCCTGGCTCTGCCTCTTACCAGGTGTTTGAGCTGACACAAATTATTTAACCTCCTTGTGCCTCAGTTCCTCATCTGTAAAACCAGAAAACAGGAATACTTACCTTCATGGGGCGGCTATGAGTACTCACTGAGCAAATTCATGACACCCAGCAGCCCTGTGTAATTGTTAGTGTCTGTTATTCACTCTTTTTATCACCAGTGATTATTTCTAGTTTAGGCATTCTAACTCCTCTCTCCACTAAACCAGCCATCTCTCTATGATCACATCTAATATTATTCTGAGTTACTTGTCCCGGAAAAAGAATAACTTTCCAATTTACAAACTGGCAGAGGGAAAGTGCATTGCTGTGCTGGAAAAACCCGTGGAGTGATAAGCAGGGGCTCTGGAGTGGGACAGTCCCTGGGCTGCGCACTGGCTCTGCCACTCACTCACTGTGTGAGCCTGAATGTGTCATTTAACTCCCTGTGCCTGAGTTGCCTTATCTGTATGGAGAAAATGAGCTAATGTAAATGACTGTAGCTGGCTGGACGCAGTGGCTCACGCCTGTAATCCTAGCACTTTGGGAGGCTGAGGCGGGTGGATCACCTCAGGTCAGGAGTTCGAAAGCCGGCGCCTATAATCCCAGCTACTCAGGAAGCTGAGGTAGGAGAATCGCTGGAACCCGGGAGGTGGAGGTTCCAGTGAGCCAAGGTTGCACCACTGCACCCCAGCCTGGGTGAAAGAGTGAAACTCTGTCCCCCCAACAACAACAACAAAAAAGACTGTAGCAGAAGCCTTGCTGGACTGTCCACCAGGCCCCTCTGGGAACTGTCCCCAACCCACAGAAATGGGTACTTCAAAGCTCTGTGTCTGCTAGGTCATTCTGTCCCACTGGCTACAGCTCATCTGTCCCAGAGTAGACACCAAGGTCTATTAGATTCTCTCTGGAATCTGGAATTGGGACACAGAGCTTCAATCTCAGTCTGGATGGTCTTCTAAAGGAAAAAATTTAAAATTTGGAAGCACTGGTCCCTGTGGATGAGGCAACTGAGAGGGCCAATTTTGGGGAGAGAAGATGGGGGAGAGGGAGACGGGGTGGGGGGAAAGGGAGAGAGAGAGGAGAAATGGAAATTCATACAAAGGAGCAAAAATAAGATATGGAAAGTTCTCCTTGAGTATGTGGAAGGTTTTTATTTTCTAGATTCATTCCCTTCCTGGGTCAGGCTGCTCCTCCTGTCAAGGGGTTCTGGGAAGCACTCAGTGATCCTTAGAACAAATCTCACCTTTTGTGTTTCAGCTGCTTCTAGAGGATTTCTCTTACCTGCAACCAAGAAGATCTCACTAGGAACTTAGGATGCAGGCTGGGCGCAGTGGCTCACGCCTGTAATCCTAGCACTTTGGGAGGCTGAGGCGGGTAGATCACCTGAGGTCAGGAGTTCGAGACCAGCCTGGCCAACATGGTGAAACCCCATCTCTACTAAAAATACAAAAATTAGCCAGACATGATGGTGGGCACCTGTAATCCTAGCTACTTGGGAGGGTGAGGCAGGAGAATCGCTTGAACTCGGGAGGCGGAGGTTGCAGTGAGCCGAGATGGTGTCATTGCACTCCAGCCTGGGCAACAAGAGCAAAACTCCGTCTCAAAAACAACAAAAAAACTTAGGATGCAGTAAGTGCTCACTAAACACTACAAGGTTCCCTTTCTTGCCCCTTTCTGAGTTTTTCTCCTCTTACTTTCCAGCTTTGGTCTGACTCCGATCTTGCTGGTGGGCTGCTGCTTTCTTCCTTATTTTCTCAAGGAGCACATTTATTCTTGCGGCTTTATAGTCCAGAAGGGACAAAGCCTAAGACTCTATCTTTAGCCCTGACAGCTCTCCCAGGGCTCTACTCATCTGCATCTGGTTATCTCCAGGGCACACCACTAACATCCCCAGAATTTTGGCATTAAAGTCAGTTCACTGTGGTCCCCGTGCGAAGAACACAGCTTCCTATCCTTTAATAGCTGTCAACTGTTCCCTTTCCCAGGGCTCACTAAAAAGGTGATTCATGATTCTTTCTTTTGTTCAAGCCCTACCTCCTATCAGTTATAGCATCAGCCACCCCCTGCTCTGCACGGTTTCTGTGACTCTCCATTCCTGGAGCCATACGCCTTCATATGGATGAAAGCAGGGTCTCTTAGCTGAAGCCCCGGGCTTGCAATCCCCTCTGACTTCAATTGACTTGATCCACTTCTGCCAGAATCATCTTTTCTTTTTTTAATCAGTTGGGTATTGAAGGTTTATTATTTGTTCACAGTTATGCTGGCCTCCACAGGGAATTCAAAAGTGAGAGGGTATTTTTTGTTAGTAGAGTATGTGTGTAGCAGGAACTTTCTGGGTGACTGCCCAGATCACAGCAATCACCCTTTCTCCCTCGGAACGCCTCCGAAACGCAGGGTGGGACACCCAGAAGTCATATCATTACTATATGATCTTGCCCCCAGGCAAACCTGATTGATGCAGGGGTGGGGAACAGACTAGTTTGGGCCAATCAGATTTTCTCTTGCAGAATTTGGAATCTTACAGTGACAGGCACAAAGCGGGAGTTGCTAGAGGGTTGAGTCATGGTGATGGTAGCGAAGCCCCTGCCTCTGAGAGCTCTGGAGCTGTCCTGAAACTTACTTTTCTGGAGGCTTGTTTAAACCTCATCCTTAGAGTCTAAGAGAGATATCCCAGCATCCTTTTTTTTTTTTTTTTTTTTTTTGGTAACTTACGTGAGCCAGAGGTGATTTTTGTTTCTTGCCTGAAGAATCCTAACTAATCCAAACAAAATTAGACGTTTTGTCTCAAAGGTCTTTTTTTTTTTTTTTTTTTTTTTTTTTTTTTTTTTTTTTGTGAGACAGAGTCTGGCTCTGTCGCCCAGGCTGGAGTGCAGTGGTGTGATCTTGGCTCACTGCAACCTCTGCCTCCCAAGTTCAAGCGATTCTCCTGCCTCAGCCTCCGGAGTAGCTGGGACTACAGGCGCCTATCACCATGCCTGGCTAATCTTTGTATTTTTAGTAGAGACGGGGTTTCACCATGTTGGCAAGGCTGGTCTCAAACTCCTGACATCAGGTGATCTGCCCACCTCAGCCTCCCAAAATGCTGGGATTACAGGCATGAGCCACTGTGCCCAGCCTGTCTCAAAGGTCTTAACAAAAGCCGAGCAGATGTGAATATCTTTATTTTACTGGTAGAGCTACTGATGTTCAGATAAGCTAAGTGATTTGTCCAAGGTGGGGAGGGTTTTGTGGAGGACCTCAGATATAGAATTCCGATGGAGTCCCATGGTGGCAGAGGAGAATTAAGAGGCAAATCTGGTTACATTAAAATTTTATTACAGTAGGTCTTGGTGCTCATGTCTGTTGTTGAGTCACTAAAAACCATCTCCTGGCCACTCTGCCATATTGCAGAATGCAGAACCCTAGCCTTGGCATAGCCAAGTAGCATTCTTCAGCTTACCATCTGAAGTCCTTACCCAGTGGTCCTTTCTCTCTTCTCTCAATCCTATCCATCATATCTTTCAAAGATTAGGTCAGATCCACCTGGATTAATTTCACCCTAATCCTGCTGTCACTTTATTCTATATCCCAGTTGCCACAGCCTGCCTCCCTTCCCTTTCCTTCCTTCCTCTTTTTCTTTCTTTTCATTTCTCCTCTTCTCTTTTCTTTCGTTCTTCTTTCCTTTGTCTTTCCTTTCTTTTTCTTTCTCTCTCCTTTCTTTTTCTTTCTCTCCTTCCTTTCTTCTTTTTCTTTCCTTTCTTTCTTTCTCTCCTTTTTTTCTTTCCTTTTTTTCTTTCTCTCCTTCCTTTTTTTCTTTTTTCTTTCTCTCCTTCCTTCCTTTCTCCTTCCTTCCTTCCCTGCCTCCCTCCTCTCTCCCTCCTTCCCTTCTCTTCCCCTTCCCTTCCCTCCCTCGCTCCCTCCCTCCCTTCCTCCCTTCCTTCCTTCCTTCCTTCTTTCCTTCCCTCACTCCTCTTTCTCCCTTTCCCTTCCCTCCCCTCCCTCCCTCCTCCTTCTCTTCCTCTCTCTGTCTCCCTCTCCCTCTCTCTCTATTTCTTTAAAGATGGGGGTCTCACTATGTTCCTGAGGCTGGAGTGCAGTAGCTATTCGTAAGTACAATCATAGCTCACTACAGCCTCCAACTTCTGGGCTCAAGTGTTCCTCCTGCCTCAGCCTCGACAGTGGCTGGGACTACAGGCAGGTGCTACCACACCCAGCCTCTTTTCTTTTTCATTAAAGTTCTCAACATTATATAATGTATATTTTTATATTATATTGTATATTGTATATTTTTTACAATATACAATAAACTGTACATATTTAAAGCATACAGTTTGATGATTTTTGATATATGTATATATCCATGAAACCATCACCATCCTCAAGAGAATGAACATTTCTATCACTTCCAAAAGTTTCTTTGTGCTACTTTGTGATTCCTCGCTCCTTCTCCTCCTCACTCAACCTCTGCCTCTAGGTTACCATTGCTCTGCTGTCACTATAGATTCATTGGCATTTTCTCGAATTTCATGTAAATAGAATCACGCATGATATCCTCTTTTTTATCTGGGTTCTTTCACTCAGCATAACTATTTTGAGATTGTTCCAAGTTGTAGCATATTTCAATAGTTCCTTTTCATTCTCACGTAGTATTCCATCATGTGGATATACAATACCACAATTTCTTTATCCGTTCACCTGCTAATGAACACTTGGGCTTCTTCTAGGGTTTGGCTTTTACATATAGAGCTGCTGTAAACATTTGTGCATGCATCATTGTGTGGACATATGTTTTGTTTTACCTAGGAGTGAAACTGCTGGGTCATATGGTAAGTGCATGTTTCACTTTTTAAGAAACTGCCAAATTGTTTTCCAAAGTGGTTGTGCCATTTCACATTCCTGGCAACACTGTATGAGAGTTTTAGTTGCTCCATATCCTTGCCAATATTTGGTATTGCCTTTCTTTTTTATTTTAGCCATTTTAGTAGGTGTATAGTTGAAGCTTACTGTTGTTTTAGTTTGCTTTTCCCTAATCACAATGATCAGCATCTTTTCATGTGCTTATTTTGAGAAATTTTTGGTGAACTCATGCCTGTCATCCCAGCACTTTGATAGGCTGAGGCAGGCAGATCACCTGAGGTCAGGAGTTCAAGACCAGCCTGGGCTGGTCTCTACTGTGAAACCCTGTCTCTAATAAAACCGCACAAAATTAGCTGGGTACAGTGGCAGGTGCCTGTAATCCCAGCTACTTGGGAGGCTGAGGCAGGAGAATCACTTGAACCCGGGATGCGGAGGTTGCAGTAACCTGAGATTGTGCCACTGCACTCCAGCCTGTGTGACAGAATAAGACTCCATCTCAGAAAAAAAAAAAAAAAAGAAAAAGAAATATTTGGTGAAGTGCCATAACATTTTTTCCCCCTTCTTTCCACTTTCTATTGTTGGCTTCCTTGGCTTTTTTAATTTGGATACTTGGAGCCATGCACTGGTTTGGGTCACAAGCACTGGTAAATGCCTTAACGTTTTCTTTCTCTATAATGACCCTGGCTTCTTCCTCCTTGTCGGTTCCTCAGCAGAAATGCTTCTCCTCTTGGGCACCTCTCCCTTTGGTTGCTGGGAGCTGTGCTTTTTCAGCCCCCATGTGTGGGCCTGTGGGGACTTTGTAGACTTACACAATGCTGCAGTGATCCATGCAATTTTCTCATGGATACTAGCTACCTTTAACTCTTCTAGGCTGAATCCCCTGCCAGCCTATACTTTGATTGACATCTGATGTGGGCATTTTATTACTGGGTGGACAGATGCAAATGCAGATTCAGTGTGTAATTCAGTACATTGTTGCTGTTGAGACCTGCATTTGTGGATTTTATGGACTGGCTGGTTGAACCATGTGGCAACCCATTGTTGCCAAGTTTGGTGAAACTAGAGCTCTAGAAACATGCCACTCTGGCTGGGTCCTATGATCCTGCGGTTGCCTACATCCCCTTTCCCAAGGAGTACAGCCAAGTAGAAAGCTGCATTTGTTTTCTGTTTGTTTTTGTTTTTGTTTTGAGATGGGGTGTCACTCTGTCACCCAGGCTGGAATAGAGTGGCTTGATCTCGGCTCACTGCAATCTCTGTCTCCTGGACTCAGCTGATCCTCCCACCTTAGCCTCCCGAGTAGCTGGGACTACAGGCATGCACCACCACATCCGGCTAATTTTTTTTTTTTTTTTAAGAGATTGAGTTTTACCACATTGCCCAAACTGGTCTCAAACTGTTTTTTTATTTGCTTGTTTGTTTGTTTCTTTTTTGAGACAGAGTCTCACTCTGTTGCCCAGGCTGGAGTGCAGTTGTGTCATCTCAGCTCACTGCAACCTCCACCTCCCAGGTTCAAGCAATTCTCCTGCCTCAGGAGAAGCTGTGATTACAGGCGCCTGCCACCATGCCCGGCTATTTTTTGTATTTTTAGTAGAGACGGGGTTTCACCATGTTGGCCAGGCTGATCTCAATCTCCTGACCGCAAGTGATTCGCCCACCTCGGCCTCCCAGAGTGCTGGAATTACACATGTGAGCCGCCGCTTTTTGTTGTTAAACCTGTATTATATCATCCTGTTCTTCTTAATGTATTATTTGGAATAGTTCTCAACCTATTTACTTTTTGAAATATGGCTACTTACAGATGGATCCTAAACCCTTCAAGGGCAAGGATTAAGGTTTCCAGGAAATGCGTAACCTTTATCAAAGCACCACAGTGTGTTTGGATATAGAAGATCCTTGGTAACTGTCCATTACTTAAAACTGTTAGCTGGTTAGCCTTGAATTATAAAAGCTATCAGTCTAATCAGCCTTATAGATCTGTGATATGAGAAAGAACTACTCATATTTCTGGAGTATGTAAGAAATTTCAACATCAGAATTTTAAAGCTTTAGAGAAACTGAAGGAGACATTTCACAGATGAGAAAACTAAAACACCAAGAAGTACTTGCTTGAGTGCATCAGCTCCTTTGCAATGCCCTTCTGGATCCTTTGCCATGGAACTGACCACTCAATCTCTACTCTCAGCCCCCCATATGCCTATTTAAACTTGTCACAGTTCCTGTGACATTTTATTATACCTTGCTTGGCTGCATAAATAGGGATTTTGTCTTCTTTGTCTTTGTAGCCCAAATTCCCAAGACAGTTCCTGGAACTGTCAGGCACTTAATGAGGGAATGAATGGATGAGTTGGTGGCAGAGTGTGGCTGGAGTAAGTACAAATAGAACAAAATACGATAACAATAATATAGTCATGTTTCTCAAGTGGCTCGTGTGTATTAGGTACCATGGACATGGCTTATATTTATTTTGAATTTAATGGTCACAATAGCTCTGTGAAGTAGATATAGCTATTCTTGTTTTATAGGGGAGGAAACTGAGGCATTGAGAAGTGAAGTAATTTCCTACAGTTTCACAGCTATAAAAAGGCAGGGCTGTCCCCTGAACCTAGGCATACGATTATGGGGACTGTCTGGGAACTACTGCTTGAGTCATGAGAATGTAGCGTTGGCCTTGCTGAGAAATTCAAATGCTGTTCCTGTCCTTTCTACTCTTCTTTTAATTGGTTTTCAAGGGTGATTACATGTGTGGGGTGGCCATGAGTATTTCTCCTCCATGTGGAGATACTGATACTAGAAGAGTTCAAGTGAATTGATAACATAGGTGAAGCCACTAAAAAATGCTTTGGCCAAGTCACTGAATTTGTGTGATCCCAATCATTTGTGATAAGGTCATAATACTTACATTTAAGGTATGCACAATGTCTGCTATGTGGCTGTGAATGAATGATTTTGCGGTTTCATCATAAGGTAAAGCTTGGCTGAGAGAAGACAGATCTCCTAGGAATTTCAGCTTTTCAAGTTCACCCTGAATTTGTGGGAAAATGATAAAAATACAATTATATGTCATAATCTTATTTGAATAACTGTGGAGAGTTTTTGAAAAGTTTCTTGGAATGCTTTAAATATCTGACATCTCTTTCAACCCAATATCAGTCTTTTATTACAAAGAATGAGTAAATTACGGAAGATTTCAGTGAAATTCCTTGTCCGCTGGCCCTGCCTTGCTTTGAGACCTCGGCTCTCCTCTCAGCTCCATGTTCCATCCTGGCTTTCCCCACTCTTAGTCTTTGCTTTTCTACCTGCCTGTCCTGTGTAGTGTTGCCTGATTAAGCTTCCTAGGCTGGGCATGGTGGCTCATGCCTGTAATCCCAGCACTTTAGGAGGCCGAGGTGGACAGATCACCTGAGGTCAGGAGTTCCAGACCAGCATGGCCAACATGGTGAAACCCTGTCTCTACTAAAAATACAAAAAAGTAGCCAGGCGTGGTGGCGCGTGCCTGTGCCTGTAGTCCCAGCTACTTGGGAGGCTGAGGCACGAGAATCACTTGAACCTGGGAAGCGGAGGTTGCAGTGAGCTGAGATGGTGCCGCTGCACTCCAGCCTGGGTGACAGAGTGAGATCCCATCTCAAAAAAAAAAAAGCTTCCTAAAGGTGACCTCTCTGATTCTGTTACTTCTAGTTCTTTCAATGTCATTAAAAATTCATTATTTTGCTTTTAAAATTTCCTATTAAAATCCAAGTTCTGATTGGAAGAATAAAATCTCTCAGTACTAACATTCTCTTTTTCTTTTTTATTTTATTATTACTATTATTATTATTATTTTTTTGACATGGAGTCTCGCTCTGTCACCCAGGCTGGAGTGCAGTGGCACGATCTCAGCTCACTGCAACCTCAACCTCCTGGGCTCAAGCAATCCTCCCGCCTCAGCCTCCCAACTAGCTGGGACCACAGGCACGCACCACCACGTCCAGCTAATTATTTGTATTATGTTGCCCAGGCTGGTCTCAAACTCCTGAGCTCAAGTGATCCACCTGCCTTGGCTTCCCAAAGTGCTGGGATGACGGGATGACAGGTGAGAACCACCATGCCTGGCCTCTCTTTTTCTTTTTCTTTTTTTTTTTTTTTTTTTGAGATGGAGTCTCGCTCTGTCACCCAGGCTGGACTGCAGTGGTACACCTGGGTTCAAGTGATTCTCCTGCCACAGCCTCCCAAGTAGCTGGGACTACAGGCATGCACCACCACACCAAGCTAATTTTTGTATTTTTAGTAGAGATGGGGTTTTATCATCTTGGCCAGGCTGGTCTCGAACTCCTGACCTCAGATGATCTGCCTGCCTTGGCCTCCCAAAATGCTGGGATTACAGGCGTGAGCCACTGCACCCGGCCTCTTTTCTAATTATACATACATACATATATATATAAAATTCCTATTTATCATAGAACCTTTTTTTTTTTTTTAAGACAGGGTCTTGCTCTGTCATCCAGGCTGGAGTGCAGTGGCGTGATCACCACTCACTGCAGTCTACATCTCCTGGGCTCATGGGATCCTTGTACTTCAGCCTCCTGAGTAGTTGGGACTATAGGTGTGCTTGAACCTGGGAGACGGAGGTTGCAATGAGCCAAAATCGCGCCACTGAACTATAGCTTGGGTGACAGAGCAAGACTCTGTCTCAAAAAAGAAAAAAAAAATCTCTATATATCTTAAGACTTGGAGAATGCGTTTGCTCCTGAAGCAGGGTCCAGTGTCCTTTCTTTTTTTTCTTTTGAGACAGAGTCTCACCCTGTTGCCCAGGCTGGAGTGCAATGGCATGATCTTGGCTCACTGCAACCTCCGCCTCCCAGGTTCAAGCTATTCTCCTGTCTCAGCCTCCCAAGTAGCTGGGATTACAGGCACCTGCCACCATGCCCGGCTAATTTTTTGTATCTTTAGTAGAGATGGGGGTTTCACCATGTTAGCCAGGCTGGTGTTGAACTCCTGACCTCGTGATCTGCCCACCTTGGCCTACCAAAGTGCTGGGATTACAGGTGTGAGCCACTGCGCCTGGCTGGTCCAGTGTCCTTTCTAAGTGTATCTACAAACCACATGAATAAATTGCTATCACAGCACTTGCGATACTCTGACATAATGACCTTCTTATTAATCTATTTCCCTGACTGACTGTGGAATCAGCTCAAGGCAGGTAATGGGCTTTTTTGTTTCAATTCATGGCAGCAATCCAAGCCCTTCATTAACTACAAAGAAATCGAAAGAAAACCATGCTGATATGAAGTATAAGGATTAGCTGAAGTCAAAAGTGAAGGCCAACATGTTGGCTTTAAATGTTTTATTTTTATTTTTCATTGGTATTCTACATAAAGAAAATGTACAGTTTGGTGGATTTTCACAAACCAAAAAACACCCTGTAGCCAGCAACAGATTATTACTAGCATTCCTGAAGTTTCCCTCATCCTCCTTCCAGTGGAGGCTCTGTGTGGTTTTGTGTGTATGTGTATGTGTGTGTTTTGTGTGTGTTTTGGTAAATTGACAAATTATGGTTGTATATATTTATGCGGTACAAAGTGACAACATGATTTTTAAAAATGTATCATACAGTAAAACTGATTTCGGCAGGAAGCATGTGGTTCCATGTGTTATAACACACACATACACATGTGTAACCATCACCACAATCAGGATACGAACAGTTCCACCATCCCCTAAATTTCTCTCCTGCTATCCCTTTTTAGTCACATCCTCTCCCCACCCTAATGCCTAGGAATCACTAATCTGTTCTGCATCACCATGTTTTGTCTTTTCAAGAATGTCACACAACTGGAATCATACAGTCTGTAACCTTTTCTGATTGGTTTCTTTCACTCAACACAATGCCTCTGCGATTCATCTTTGCTGTTGTATCGATAGTTCCCTCCTTTAATTGCTGAATAGTATTATATTTTTTGAGACAGGGTCTCGGTCTGTTTGTGGCCCAGTTTGTTTATCTGTGAATAGTCTTTAATCTTACTACTCCAACTTCTTCCCTGCGTCTAGCATAGTGCCTTATAAATGGTAGCTGTTCATTCATTACTTGTTGATTGGGTGAATGGGATTTAAAAGCCATAGAGGACCAGGCACAGCGGCTCATGCCTGTAATCCCAGCACTTTGGGAGGCCAAGGCATGTGGATTGCTTGAGGTCAAGAGTTCAAGACCTGCTTGGTCAACATGGTGAAACCCATGTCTACTAAAAATACAAAAATTAGCTGGGCAATGGTGGCACGTGCCTGTAATCCCAGCTACTCAGGAGGCTGAGGCAGGAGAATCACTTGAACCCGGGAGGCAGAGGTTGCAGTGAGCTGAGATTGTGCCACTGCACTCCAGCCTGGGCGACAGAGTGAGACACTGTCTCAGAAAAAAAAAAAAAAAAAGTCTAAAAAAATATAAACCAAAATGTCAGCAGTAGTTATTTGAGACTGGAATTAGGGAAGATTAGCTTTTAATTTTTATTATGGTTTTCTTTGTTTTTACATTAATTTCATAATTATATATGTAAGTATAATTTATAAATATATGTAAATATATGTATTATAAATATAAAACAAACATGTTTTATAACCTATAATATAAAATTATTTGTATAATCAAGAAATAATATGTTTAAAATATTTGTTAAAATGGAGGAATAAGTTGGATAACTCATAAAAATTGCTTGTGCATACCTTTAGCTCACCATTGAAAACCTTCTGGATGGACTGGATCAGTTTCTCAACAATGGCCTCACTGAGCGGGTCCTGTTGGGTCAGGTGTCTGGGGCTATGTGACAGGGGCTCACAATGGAGTCCAGGGATGTCAGGGATGTCCAAGTCTAACATTGAAAGAAAGACACTGGATGATGCCTCCGTACTGTGTAAAGTGATAAGGTTTAGTATGGAGTACCTCTGGCTCACCTTTACTACTTGCTCTATGACCTTAACCAAGTCCCATCCTGTCTCCTAGACTCAGTTTTCTCAAAAATAAATTCAATGTTCTCTAAGGGCCTCCTAAGCTACAAAAAACCTTTGGGACTGAGCTGTAGCAGAATGGTTAAGACTATGGACTTTAAATCTCAATTTGAGACTAGTTTGAATCTTGGCTCTACCACTTACTATTTGTATGACCTTTATCAAGCTAGTTTGCCTCCTGAAACCTAAGTTTCCTTTTCTGTAAAACAGGGTTATTATAAGAATTAAATGAGGTAATACATGCAAAGAACTGATCCCAGAAGTATTTCCCCCTTAACACATCTTTCATCTGAAGATTTTTACCATTCTTTTTTTTTTTTTTTTGAGACAAGAGTCTCACTCTGTCGCTCAGGCTGGAGTACAGTGGCGCGATCTTGGCTCACTACAACCTCTGCCTCCTGGGTTCAAGCGATTCTTGTGCCTCAGATTCCCAAGTAGCTGGAATTACAGGCACACGCCACCACCCCCAGGTAATTTTCGTATTTTTAGTAGAGATGGGATTTCGCTATGTTGGCCAAGCAAGGTCTCGAACTCCTGACCTCAGGTGATCCACCCGCCTCAGCCTCCCAAAATGCTGGGATTACAGATGTGAGCCACCGTGCCCGGCCACCACTCTACTTTTGCATTCTTTTTGATTTCTTGAATGCCTCTTCAGTAAACTCTACCCACTTCCTGCCATATTCCTATCATCCACTAATTGCAATAATTGAAGCCATGTTCTCATTCTGATCTGTGCACAGGCTGTTCCTTCTGCCTGCATTTTTCTCCTTCTTCTCCCCCACCTTCCCTTACCT
Source organism: Homo sapiens (assembly GCF_000001405.40). Taxonomy (NCBI): domain Eukaryota; kingdom Metazoa; phylum Chordata; class Mammalia; order Primates; family Hominidae; genus Homo; species Homo sapiens. The sequence continues at coordinate 82,461 of NW_025791812.1, forward strand.
ATCTTTGCCTTGCTAACTCCTACTCATCCTTCAAGTCTCAGCTCCAGGATGCCTTTCGTGTATGCCCTTTTTGCCTATTTTGGCTAAGTATCCCCAAGTCACTAATAAACCGCTCTGTATCCACTCTGGCTCTCCCACCCCCATCACACTGATTGCACTGAGTTCCATTTGCCTGTTCATCCGTAGGTATACTGTGTCTGTTCTGTTCGATGCTATATCTCCAGCTGCTAGATTAAGCTTAGAGCACAGGAGGGCTTCATTAAGTATTTGCTGAATGAATGTATGAATGAATGAAGGTAGCTTCAAACACACCAGGATCTTTCCTGTGTCATGCACATGCTGTCCCCATCTATCTGTAGTACTCCCTATACTCACATGAGTTACTCTCACATCTTTCAAGCCTCCTTTAGATTTAAATAGCACTCATGGTCTCATACAGGTGTTCTCTGACAACCAGAGTTTCAAGTAGGTTCCTATTGCCCTTATTTTTGTCTCAGCCTGTTCTTCCATACTGCTTACTACAAGTTGTAGTTACTTCAGTGACTGTTTACTCTTTTTGGTCTCTTTTCTGCACAATAATGTAAGTTCTATGAGGGCAGTGACCATGTTGGTCATGTCTACTGTTGTATTCCCAGCTCCTGGTACTCAATACATGTTTTGTAGAATGAAAGTTATTCTGAAGCCCAATCCAGATCTTACCTTCTGCATAAAGTCCTCCCACTCCAAGGTATCCCACACTGCCCTTTCCCTCCTCAGAATCCCTCAAGCACTCACACTCTTCTGCAGAACTGTCTCAGGACCAACCTTAGTTTCCTGGACATCACGAACCATGTATCTCATTTTGCCAACTGTATTTCAAGGTCTCAAAGTCAGGGACCAAATTCATCATCAAAGTCTAGTCAAGGGCTGGTCACCCAGCAAGTACTCAATCAATACCTCTTGGCCTGAGTTGAAAATACATTCTCTTTTCCCCTCCCCTCCCCTTTCTAGTCCTTTCTCCTTTTTACCTGTCAGTTCAATGCTACTTGAGCCTTTTTTAATAATCTCTAAGTTGCTCAGCTCCAAATCCACACTTTCTGAATCACTGTCATAGGCACAGGGGATCACTACTTCTTCCTGACTACAGATCCTAGGAATAAAGAGGAGATGCGAAAAATTAGTTTTCCAGGACTGCTTCTGTCTCATCATTTATTTGAAAGCCTCAATGTCACTTTCTGAGAGAGGCATTTATTCATCACCAATCTAGATTAAGTAGCTCCCACCATCCTGGCCCCACAGTTACCTTCTTATTTTTTTCATGGTATTTAACCACCACCTACAATTACCTTGCTCATTTGGTTTATTTGTTTGACTGTCTCCTATCAGACTATAAACTCCATTAGAGAGAACCCTCGTCTACATGGTCACATTTGTATCCCCAATACCTACCTAGCATGTTGTCAGTCTCATTAGGAGTGAATGGATAGGTAAGAAATACTATGCTGCTGTTAAAAACAATGCTGGGTGCAGGTGGCTCACGCCTGTAATCTCAGCACTTTGGGAGGCTGAGGCGGGCAGATCACCTGAGATCAGGAGTTCAAGACCAGCCTGGCCAACATGGCAAAACCTGGTCTCTACTAAAAATACAAAAAATAGCCGGGCATGGTGGCACATGCCTGTAATCCCAGCTACTCGGGACACTAAGGCAGGAGAATCACTTCAACTGGGAGGTGGAGGTTGTAGTGAGCCGAGATTGTGCCACTGCACTCCAGCCTGGGTGACATAGCAAGACTCCATCTCAAAAAACAAACAAACCCATCAAAAAAACCAGATTGAGGTAGAACACCTCACCAAACTCCCTCTATCTTCCTTACCCTTTCCTACTTTTTCTTTTTACCATAGCACGTAACACCTTCCAATATATCTTTCACTTGTTTATGATGTTCATTGTCATTTATTTCCTCCTGCTAAAATGTAAGCTTCATGAGGGCAAGAATCTTTGGCTGCTTTGTTCATGAATGTATCCCAGGAGTCTAGAACAGTGACATACAGAAGTGCTCAACAATTATTGGCAGAGTAAATGATTGAGCAGGTCTCTATTTACTGAATGTTTAGCATAGATTCATGAAAGAAAAAGCAAGCTGTCAAACAATGGATATGACATTTTTCATTAAAACAAAACTATTTTCACAAAAGTATAAGTATATGTGTATACACACAGAAACACACACACACAAATGTTGGCATACATGAAAAAAAACTTATGGAGGCTGGGTATGGTGGCTCACTCTGTAATCTCAGCATTTTGGGAGGTTGAAGTGGGAGGACTGCTTGAGCTCAGGACTTCGAGACTAGCCTGGGCAACACGGTGAGACCTCATCTCTACAAAAAAGTAAAAAATTGGCCAGGAGCGGTGGCTCATACCTGTAATCCCAGCACTTTGGGAGGCTGAGGAGGGCGGATCATGAGTTCAGGAGATTGAGACCATCCTGGCTAACAGGGTGAAACCCCATCTCTACTAAAAAAAAAAAAAACAAAAAAATTAGCCGGGCACGGTGGCGGGCGCCTGTAGTCCCAGCTACTCGGGAGGCTGAGGCAGGAGAATGGCGTGAACCCGGGAGGTGGAGCTTGCAGTAAGCCGAGGTTGCACCACTGTACTCCAGCCCAGGCGACAGAGCGAGACTCCATCTCAAAAAAAAGAAAAAAAAAGTAAAAAATTAGCTAGGTGTGGTGGCATGTGCCTGTAGTCCTAGCTACTCAGGAGGCTGAGGCAAGATGATCCCTTAAGCCCAGGAGTTTAAGACTGCAGAGTTTAAGCTATGATGGCACCACTGCACTCCAGCTTGACTGACAGAGAGAACTTGTCTCTAGAAGAAACAAAAACACAACTTACGGAATTCATTTTTTAAAATTATTTATTATTTTTAATTTTTATTTTTTTTGACACAGAGTCTCACTTTGTCGCTCAGGCTGAAGTGCAGTGGTGCAATCTCAGCTCACTGCAACCTCTCTGCCTCCTGGGTTCACGTGATTCTCATGCCTCAGCCTTCTGAGTAGCTGGGATTACAGGTGCCTGCCACCACGCCCGGCTAATTTTTATATTTTTAGTAGAGACAGGGTTTCGTCATGTTGGCCAGGCTGGTCTCAAACTCCTGACCTCAGGTGATCTGCCCACTTTGGCCTCCCGAAGTGTGGGGATCACAGGCATGAGCCACGGCGCCCAGCCAATAAAACAATTTTGGAAGGACACCCCAAACCAATAAAGTTTGAACTCTGTCCTGTATGCATATATTTCTTTAATAAAAAATGAGTTCATTAAAAACAAAGAAACCCTCTAGGAGCAGAATGGTTGGGTTGTGTGGTAGATTGTGTAACTGACTTCTTAAGATGCTGCCTGGCCACGTGTTGTGTCTCACGCCTGTATTCCCATTGCCTTTGGGAGGCTAAGGCGAAAGGATTGCCTGATACCAAGAGTTTGAGACAAGCCTGGGTAACATAGCAAAATCCGATCTCTACAAAAAATTAGCTGGGGGTGGTGGCATGTGCCTGTAGTCCCAGTTACTCAGGAAGCCAAGGCAAGAGGGTCCTAGAGTCCAGGAGGTGAAGGCGGCAGTGAGCTATGATTCCATCACTGTATTCCAGCCTGAGCGACAGATGGAGACCTTGCCTCGTAAAAAACAACCACCGCCAGTGGCTCACGCCTGTAATCCCAGCACTTTGGGAGGCTGAGGTGAGTGGATCACTTGAGGTCAGGAGTTTGAGACCAGCCTGGCCAACATGGTGAAACCCCGTCTCTACTAAAAATACAAAAAAATTCAGCCAGGCAGTGTGGCGCGCGCCTGTAATCCCAGCTACTCGGGAGGCTGAGACACGAGAATCGCTTGAACCCAGGAGATGGAAGTTGCAGTGAACTGAGATTGTGCCATTGCACTCCAGCCTGGGTGACAGAGGGAGACTTTGTCTCAAAACAAACAAACAAACAACGAAGAAGCTGTCAATCTGTTTCCAAAATGGTCGTACCACTTTACATTTCCATCAGCAGGATATGAGAGATCCTGTTGCTCCACATCCTTGCCAACATTTGCTATTGTTGGTCTTTTTCTTTTTCATTAGTCAGGTGTGGTGGCTCCCATCTGTGGTCCACAGCTAGTCACTAGGACCACAGATGCGAGCCACCACACCTGGCTAATCAAAATTTTTTTTTTGTAGAGGCAGGTCTTGCTGTGTTGCCCAGGTGGGTCTCGAATTCCTGGACTCAAGTGATCCTCCTACCTCAGCCTCCCAAAAGCTCTGGGATTACAGACTGAGCCACCATTCCTGGCTGCATATGCTAAGTCTGTGGTGTAAATACTCCCATCATGGCCAAAATCAAGCTACCAATACTACCTTGGGAAGAGATGTTCAATGGCATACTGTCATATATTTCCACCACACAGTTACAACAGATATAAGCAACCACAAAAGCACACAAAACGTAAAATGTAGTGAAATAATTAGAAAATAATGAGTTTTGTTTTCAATATACTTTATTTCATCCTAAATTGATATAATTTTCTAAATGGCTGTATTTAACCAATTTGCAAAATTACTGCAAATTTAACAATGGACTCTCAAGATAGTATGAGACAGCTCCAGCACACCACTGGTTGGTTGTCTTATTCTTGAGCTGGGAGAATTCTTTATATATTCTACATCAGCACTGCCCAATGGAACTTTCTGCAATAATGAAGATGTCCTATAATTTTGAGTGGTCCAATCTGATATCCACTAGTTATCTGTGGCTACTGAGCACTTGAAATGTGGCTAGTACAAATGAGAGACTGAATTTTAAATTTTACTTAATTTTAATCCATTTAAATTCAAATTTAAATATCCACATAAGGCTAGTGGCTATCATAACAGACACAGAAAGAACTGACTCTCTCCCATGCGGGATAACATTTGGGACAATAATAACGTTAATAAGAGTTATATTGTGCATACTTTATATGTTCATAAAACTGTAGTTAAAAGCACAGATTCTGGAGTCAGCTGCCTAGGTTCAAATCTGTTTCCTTCTCTTTAAAATGGGATTAGCCTGTAATCTCAGCACTTTGGGAGGCTAAGGCCGAAGGATCCTTTGAGCCCGAGTTCCAGACCAGCCTGGGCAACAAAGCGAGACGCGGTATCTACCAAAAATAATTTTAAAGATTAGCTGGGCGTGGTGTCGCAAGGCAGCAGTCCCAGCTACTCCGGAGGCTGAGGCGGGAGGGAAGATTGCTTGAGCCCAGGATGTCGAGGCTGCAGTAAGCTGTGATCGCACCACTGCACTCCAGCCTGGGCGACAGAGCAAGATCCCGTATCAATAAAAAAGGAAAGAAAAGAAATAATGCTTGTAGAGCGTTCGGCACAGTGTCGGGTTATACTGTAAACATTCAGTAGTTGGCGCTAGTTATTAGAGCGGTGTTCCTGGATGAGCCACCTCCATGTTGAGCCTGTAAAACTGGCCTAATATGTTCTCTATGAGTCACTGCATTGCTCTGCAAATCAGATAAAACGTCACTCGTAGGTCAGTTATTAACAACCCCACTGATAATCTTTGGAAAAAACTGACATAATTTTCTTTTTCTTTTTTTTTTGGTGAGACGGAGATTTACTCGTTGCCCAGGCTGGAGTGCAATGGCGCGATCTTGGCTCACCGCATCCTCCGCCTCCCAGGTCCAAGCGATTCTCCTGCCTCAGGCTCCCGAGTAGCTGGGATTACAGGCATGTGTGACCACGCCCGGCTAATTTTGTATTTTTAGTAGAGACGGGGTTTCACCGTGTTGCCCAGGCTGATCTCGAACTCCTCACCTCAGGTAATCCGCCCGCCTCGGCCTCCCAAAGTTCTGGGATTACAGGCGTGAGCCACTGCGCCCGGCCAGAAACTGCCACAATTTTCTAAAGAGGAAAAAAAAATCCCTTCTAAGCTATCCCCTCCCGACGAGACCCTTCCTGTTCCTTTAAAATGGGCCGGGCAGCAGAAAGACGAGTGAGTGACAGCAGACAGGCCAATCAGAAGCGGCCCCGTCTCGGGCCCACCCCGAGGCCTGGCCCAACCGCGTCCCGGTAGCTCCCGGAATAGGAGCGTTGCGAGACGGTCGGTTCCAAGTGGGCCTGGGCGCGGGGGAGAGGCGGGTCTGTCCTCGGGAACTGCAAGGCCCTGTGAGCGGGAGGACTGGGATCCCGGCCGCGGCTGCTGGAAGCGTCGAAGCTCAGCGGGGCCGCGGACACTGACCTGTGCTTAGAACTCATCCTGGCCCGCAGAGCCTGCCGCGAGTCCCTGGCGTCCCCTGTGGCGGGCTCTTGGAGCCACTTTCCCGAGCGGAAGTCAGCCCGCGGCTCGGACTCCGGCGGGACCTGCTCGGAGGAATGGCGCCGCCGGGTGAGGAGTTGCGCGTGGCTTATAGACAGGGCCCCGCGGCCGGCACTCTTTGGGGAGAGGGCTGTCGCCCGCGGGAGGTTACTAGTCGCCGCTCGAGAGCCGGCCAGGCGGGATCCCCTTCCCCTGCGGGACAGGGGCATGGGCACAAGCTCTGGCTGGGGCGCTCTCGGATCGAGGGTCCGAAGGAGGGCTGCGAGCTGGTGGGAGTGCCCGCGACCTGGCGGGGTTGGTGCCTGGGGGAGGGGTGCAGCGCGGAGCTACGGGTCGCCCCGAGGCTCAGCCGTGGGGACCGCGGACGCGCTTAGCCTAGGTCTGGCCTCATTCATTTCACTCGCGCGGGCTTCTGGGCCAGGCGGCCTAAGGTTCTGGTCCCGGCGCTGCCCCTTACTCCGTGTGAGGTTTTGGGCAGATTGTCCTTCTTTGTGCTGTAGTTTCCCATTCAGTGAAAGGGGCAAAGAAAACCCTCACTTCTCTCTGGGAGCCTGGAGCATAAGTTCTCAAGTGACACTCTAGGTGCAAACTTGCAGTCGGCCACGTATTCATTGTGTAACCCAAAGCAGGTTACTTAACCCCTCTACACCTCAGTTTCTCATCTGTAAAATAAGTTAGTCAAATTAGTCACGTTATCTGCCTCGTTGAGTTGCTTTATTAAGTGAAATAATCTTCGTGCTTAGTTTAGAACAGTGCATGGCCCTAGGTAAGAACTAAGTTAACTGCATTGGAAGTTACTGAGTAGACGCTGTGCAGGGTGGAATTTCATGTAGCCTCATCGTAACTTTGGAAGCATGTACTCTTGTTACTACCATTTGACAGATGAGAAGTTGGAATCCCACGGAAGGGAACTTACTTGCCCAGGGTGACACATGAATGAGTCAGTGGCTCACCGTTTCATTATTTGAGAAGTTCAGGATAGTAAAGTGGTTAAAAGCAGACTTTGGATTCAAATTGCCTGAAGTTTGATTTTCAGTGATGTGTCCTAGGGCAGGTAACTACTTCTGAGCCTTACTTTCCTGGTCTGTGAAATGCAGAAAATAGCCACCTTGCTTAGATGTTGTGAGGATTTAATGATTTGGTGTGTGCAAAGCACAGCATAGCGTGGGCATACCTAACATATTAAGTGCTCAACTTTTAGTCAGAAAAGTTACTGCTCTCGTTAACATGGAGTGAGAAGATTAGGATTCTGACACAGGTGCTGTTTTAGGGGAATTTACGGTCTAGGTGGGAAAATGCTAGTCGCAGCCATTCACTAGATCTTCATATATTGGGTACCCGCCTGTGCACAAGGCATTGGGGATTCAGCATTAGTATCTTGACTCCGCTCTCTCTTAGGTCTTTCTGTCCATTAGCAGTTTCTGATAGGCTTTGACTTTGAATTCTAGCCAGACTAACTCTCATCACTTCTCATCATGTTCACTGCTGTTGCCCTGGTTTGGGCCACCATCATCTTCTGGCTTGGATTATGGCGGTAGTCTCCCAACTGGTGTCCCCTGCTCTGTCCTTGCACCTGCATGGTCTGTTCTCCACACAGTATTGTTTATTCTCAACACAGTAATACCATTAGAGTGTAAGTCAAATCACTCCTCTGCTTAGAACTTTCCAGTGGTCTCCAGCCGGGTGCGGTAGCTCACGCCTGTAATCCCAGCACTTTGGGAGGCTGAGGCGGGCGGATCACGAGGTCAAGAGATCAAGACCATCCTGGCCAACATGGTGAAACCCCGTCTCTACTAAAAAGACAAAAATTAGCTGGGCATGGTGGCACGTGCCTGTAGTCCTAGCTACTTGGGAGGCTGAGGCAGGAGAATCGCTTGAACCCGGGAGGCGGAGGCTGCAGTGAGCCGAGATCGCGCCACTGCACTCCAGCCTGGCAACAGAGCGAGACTCTGTCTAAAAAAAAAAAAAAGAACTTTCCAGTGGCTTCCACTACGGTGGTATACAAGGCCCTCTGGATTTGTCCTCTGCTACCTCTGTTACCTCATCTACTTCTTACCCTTTGCTTATTCCACTCAAGCTGTACTGTCCTTGCTGATCTCAAAAAACACTGTATGTGTACATACTCCTGATTCAGAATGTTTGCATTTGGTTTTTCTTTTCTTTTTTTTTTTTTTTTTTGAGACAGAGCCCCAGGCTGGAGTGCAGTGGCACGATCTCAGCTCACTGCCCACTCTGCTTCCCAGATCAAGTGATTCTCGTGCTTCAGCCTCCCTAGTAGCTGGGATTACAGGCCAAGTCACCATGTGCGGCTCATGTTTTGTATTTTTAGTAGACATGGGGTTTCACCATGTTGGCCAGGTTTGTCTTGAACTCCCGACCTCAGGTGATCCCCCTGCCTTGGCCTCCCAAAGTGCTGGGGTTAGAGGTGTGAGCCACTGCGCCTGGCCATATTGGGTTTTTCTTCTTAGCATAGTTTCCCACCAGATATCTTTATGACTTGCTTCTTCTTCAGATCTGTACTCAATATGTTTATTTCTTAGTCCTTCATAGACTACCGTATTTAAAATGCAGCCCTTCCCAAATATCTCTTCTGTACTTTATTTTTTTCCATAGCACTTACTTTGTAATGTGATAAATAATGTTATTTCATGTGATGTCTTTTGTCACTAGAATAGAAGCTCTTTGAGGGTGGGAGTTTTGTTTCTTTTGTTTCCTGCTGTATTTTTAACACCTAAAGTAGTGTGTGGCACATAGTAGCTCAGTATACATTTGATGAATACACCACGTGATAGATTTTTTCTTTTTTTAATTTAATTTTATTTATTTATTTTTATTTTTTTGAGATGGAGTCTCACTCTGTCACCCAGGCTGGAGTGCAGTGGTGCGATCTCGGCTCACTGCAACTTCCGCCTCCTGGGTTTAAGTGATTCTCCTGCCTCAGCCTCCCAAGTAGTTTGGATTACAGGCACCCACCATCACACCTGGCTAATTTTTGTCTTTTTAGTAGAGACAGGGTTTCACCATGTTGGCCAGGCTGGTCTTGAACTCCTGACTTCAAGTGATCCGCCCACCTCGGCCTCCCAAAGTGCTGGGATTACAGGCGTGAGCTACTGTGCCCAGCTGTCTTTTATTTTTTTGAGACAGGGTCTCTCTTTCTCACCCAGGGTGGAGTGCCATGGTGTGATCTCAGCTCACTGCAGTCTCAACCTCCTGGGCTCAAGTGATCCTCCTACCTCCGCCTCCCGAGTAGCTGGGACTACAGGCACACGCCACCATGCCTGGCTAATTTTTGTATTTTCTTTTTTGTAGAGAAAGGGTTTCGCCATGTCGCCTGGTCTAGTCTTGAACTCCTGGGCTCAAGCATCCGCCTGCCTCAGCCTCCCCAAGTGTTGGGATTACAGAAGTGAGCCAGTGCCGCTGGCCAATAGTGCCTTTTTTCAAGGATTCTAGTTCAAGCTTAATTTAACACTAAAGGCAAAGGATTTAGGGCCACTCATGTTAGCCTAGTGATTATTTGTTACTGCTGTTACTTGGGTGCCAGACAATGCACTTTATCAAGAAGCAGCCCATTCAAAAGTGTTTTTTGTTTTGTTTTTTTAAATAAATGAAGTAGAAATGTACCACTCCTGCAGCTTCCTGTCCCCTGGGGCATCATAGATGGGGATTAATTTTTCTTTTCATTTATTCAGCAAATATTTATTCAGTAACTATGTGCCAGGCAGTGTGCAAGACTTGGAAATACTGGGATGAACAAAAGAAGCAGTCTTTATCCTCATGGAACTTACAGTTTAGCAGAGAAATCAGACATTACGCTGTTAAAGTTGTAGAAAATCCCACAGAGAAGTACAGATTGCTATGAGTGGATATAAGCACAACAATAATAATAGTAGTAGAAGTAGTAGCTAACATTGATATAGCATTTGTTATGTGCCAGTCATTATTCTAAGATTTTTTTTTTTTTGAGACGGAGTTTTGCTCTTGTCACTCAGGTTGGCAACAATGGCGCATTCTCAGCTCTCTGCAACCTCTTGTCTCCCAGGTTCAAGCGATTCTCCTGCCTCAGCCTCCCAAGTAGCTGGGATTACAGGCACCTGCCACCACACCCAGCTAATTTTTTTGTATTTTTAGTAGAGGCGGGGTTTCACCATGTTGGCCAGGCTGGCCTCAAATTCCTGACCTCAGGTGATCCACCTGCCTCGGCCTCCCAAAGTGCTGGCCCGGCCAGATCTTTCTGTATTAACTCGTGTAATTGTACCTGAGGTAGATACTATTATCACTTTACACTTTAGGAAACTGAGGCACCAGCTGGTTGAATAACTGCCAAGGGCACATTGCTAATAAATGGCAGAGGTGTGATTTAAGCCTGGCCCCAGAGTCTGGGTTCTTCCTTACATTATTGTACTGGGGAACTAATCCTAGGGAGAGCTGCTTAAGGAAGAGGTGCTTGAGCTGAATTCTGAAAGTAAAAATTAAGCCAAGTTGAGGTAAAAACATGGAAAAATGCTGAGCAGGAAAGAACCTGGCTTCTTAGAGGACAGAGAAGAAGCCAGAGAGCAACAGATAGCGGGAAGCGCGAGGGAGGAGATCTGGTTGAGAGGCTGGCAAGGTGTGAGGATTCAGGATTGGGTTTGTCCTTAGAGGCAGAGGACTTACAGACATCTTTCAGATGGGAATAGTAGGATAAGGCCTGTGCTTTAGATGCTTGGAGGCTGCTGGGAGGACTGTCCTTCCACCAGTTGAAGAGCAGGCTCCCTGCCTTCCCAAGGCTTCTCCTCAGGTTAAACCCCTGGATTCCCTCGCCCTTCCCCATGTGATTTGGTTCCCAGATCTTGGTGTGCATCATCATTGGGACTGTGTATAGCACCTTGGAAGAGTGTAGAGTGTACTGAATGGTTGTTTCCCCCCAAGGTTCAAGCACTGTCTTCCTGTTGGCCCTGACAATCATAGCCAGCACCTGGGCTCTGACGCCCACTCACTACCTCACCAAGCATGACGTGGAGAGACTAAAAGCCTCGCTGGATCGCCCTTTCACAAATTTGGAATCTGCCTTCTACTCCATCGTGGGACTCAGCAGCCTTGGTGCTCAGGTGCCAGATGCAAAGGTAAGGCTGCTTTTGTCCTGGTGGTCAGGGTGGTTCAGGAGAACCTTCATCCCCTCACTATATTCCTTTGGGGTAGTTCAAAACTAACTCTTGCTCATTTGAGGATAACCAAGGTTAATCCAATATAAGAAATATTTGGCCAGGCGTGGTGACTCACGCCTGTAATGCCAGCACTTTGGGAGGTCTAGGCAGGTGGATCACGAGGTCAGGAGTTCGAGACCAGCCTGGCCAGTGCAGTGAAACCCTGACTCTGCTAAAAATAGAAAAAATTAGCTGGGTGTGGTGGTGCATGCCTGTAATCCCAGCTACTCAGGAGGCTGAGGCAGGAGAATCGTGTGAACCCAGGAGGCAGAGGTTGCAGTGAGCTGAGATCCCGCCATTGCACTCCAGCCCAGGCAACAGTGTGAGACTCAGTCTCAAAAAAAGAAGTTTATTTCAGTTTGACAGATCTGTTTTTGTTTTTGTTTTTTTGCCTAATGTATGTTAAGGATCATACCAGATCAGTTATTTTTAGTGGGATGTCAAGAAGAGCAAGCATAGATCATCTAGAAACTTTTACTTCAGCTCTGGGAGTGAGACTGTCCAATAACACATGTACTTACTAAGTGCCCCCCTATGTGTGTGGCTAATAATAAGGGAATTCAAGGTGGAAGGCACTCACATGTATTAAATAATGGTAGTCACTACATCAGGCAATTTTGATACATGTTTTTGGACTTCTGGTGAGGAAAATGCATTATGATTAAAACCTTTCCTGGATTCGGGACAGTCTTTTTTTTTTTTTTTTTGAGACAGAGTCTGGCTCACCCAGGCTAGAGTGCAGTGGCATGATCATGGCTCACTGCAGTCTCTGTCTCCTGGGCTCAAGCCATCCACCTCAGCTTCCCTAGTAGCTGGGACTACAGGTGTGCACCACCATGCCTGGCAATTTTTGTATTTTTTCGTTAGAGATGGGGTTTTGCCATGTTGCCCAGGCTGGTCTTAAACTCCTGGGCTCAAGTGATCCACCTGCCTCAGCCTCCCAAAGTGTTGAGATTACAGGTGTGAGCCACCACCTGACCAGGAACAGTCTTAAAGTGAATTTACATTTTATTCATTATAGTAGTATGGACAACTAGACTAAACAATTTTCCTTTGCCAAGTTTCTCATATCTGCCTTAGTTTTCTTTGACTGAAGAACAAATTACCATAAATGTAGGGGCTTAAAACACCACCGACTTATTGGCTTATATGGCTTATAGTTCTTTATTTTATTTTATTTAAGAGAGGGTCTCACTGTGTTGCCCAGGCTGGAGTGCAGTGGCTATTCACAGGCATGATTATAGCACACTATAACCTCGAACTCCTGGGCTCAAGTGATCCTCCTGTCTCAGCTTCCTGAGTACCTGGGACTATGGGTGCATCCCACCGCACCCCGCTGTTAGCTGATAATCCTGCAGGTCAGAAGTCTAGACAGGCTTGCCTGGGCCCTCTGCTTAGTGTCTCCTGAGGTCAAAGTGAAGGCATTGGCCAAACTGGGCTCCTCCCGGAAGCACTGGAGAAGAATCTGCCTCCAGGCCCATTCATGTTGTCGTATTGTCAGCAAAATCCAGTTCCTGTGGTTGTGGGCCTGAGGTCTCCATTTCCTTGCTAGCTGTCTGCTAGGAGTTGCTCTCTGTTCCTCAAGGCCATTGGTATTTCTTCTCACATGGCCCCTCCACCTTTAAACCAGTAATGGCATGGTGAGTCCTTACTCTTCAATTCTCTCTGACTTCCTCTTCAGCCACCAGCCAGAGAAAACTGCTATTAAAGGGTTCACCTGTTTGGGTCAGCCCACCTGGATAATCTCTGAATTGTAAGGTCAGCTGACTTGGGGCTTTAATTATACCTGCAAAATCACTTTATAACAGTTCCTAAATTTGTGTTTAAATGAATAATCAGTGGATGGAAATCCAGGGGGAGGAGTATGAATGTCTTTAGAATTCTGCCTACCATTTCTTGTATTAGCATGGAAATGACTCCAAATCTGTAGGGACTTTAGGCATACACTACTGCACCTGGCTTGCTGGATGGAGTGTCTTCAAGCAAATATCAGACATATTGTTGTACTTGTATCTCTTATTCTATTTATTTATTTATTTTGTAGAGATGAGGTCTCGCTATGTTGCCTAGGCTGGTGTCATGAACTGACCTCAAGCAATCCTCCTGCCACGGCCTCTCAAAGTGTTGGGATTACAGGCATGAGCCATTGTGCCTGACCAACAGTAATTCTTTAATGTCATTTAATTCTCAGTCTATGTTCAGTTATCTTGAGTTATCTCAAAAGTGTTTTTTACAGTTAGTTGGCTTAAATCAGGATCTAAAGAAGGTCTACACATTCCATTTTTTGCTGGTATCTCTTAAGACTCTTTTCACCGATAATAGTTCCCATTCCCTCTTTTCTCCCCATACCATTTATTTGTGGAATAAGTCAGGTCATTTGTCCTGGAATATTTTCCACATTCTGCCTTTGATTAATTGTATCTTCATGATGTTTTTGAACATATTTCCCTATCCTTTGTATCCCTGTAAACTGATAGTTAGCTCTTGAGGCTAAATTATATTCAGGGTTGGTTTTCTTGGTGAAAATATTTCACAGGTGGTGCTGTGGACTTCCTATTAATAGATACATAATATCTGGTTATTTCACTTTTAGTGATGATGAAGTTGTAAATTAAGGTGTTGTCAGACTAATCTATCGCTTATAAATAGTATATAGTAGGGATTTGTTTTTTCATCCAGTCTGATAATTTCTACCTTTTGATTGGGGAGTTTATTCCATTTATTTTTTTATTTTGATTCTTTTTTTATGTTTAAGATCAATCATTTGGCGGGGCGCGGTGGCTCAAGCCTGTAATCCCAGCACTTTGGGAGGCCGAGGCGGGCGGATCACGAGGTCAGGAGATCGAGACCATCCCGGCTAAAACGGTGAAACACCGTCTCTACTAAAAATACAAAAAATTAGCCGGGCGTAGTGGCGGGCGCCTGTAGTCCCAGCTACTTGGGAGGCTGAGGCAGGAGAATGGCGTGAACCCGGGAGGCGGAGCTTGCAGTGAGCCGAGATCCCGCCACTGCACTCCAGCCTGGGCGACAGAGCGAGACTCCGTCTCAAAAAAAAAAAAAAAAAAAGATCAATCATTTATGTTTAATTATATTGTTGGGTTTACATCTGTCATCTTGTTATTTGTTTCCTATTGGCTTACCTGTTTTTCCCTCTCTTTTCCTGTCTTATTTTTATATTTTATTTTGTTTTATTTTATTTTTTTGAGACAGGGTCTCACTCTTGTCACCCAGGCTGGAGTGCAGTGGTGTGATCTCTGCTCACTGTGACCTCTGCCTCCCGGGTTCAAGTGATCCTCCCATCTCAGCCTCCTAAGTAGCTGGGATTACAGACGCGCACCACCATGCCTGGCTAATTTTTTGTATTTTTTGGTAGAGATGGGGTTTCACCATGTTGGCCAGGCTGGTCTTGAACTCCTGACCTCAAGTGATTTGCCCTCCTCGGCCTCCCAAAATGCTGGGATTACACGCGTGAGCCACTGCGCCCAGCCCCTTGATTATTTTTAAATATTCTGTTTTATATCTTCTATTGACTGTTCAGATCTAATTTTTTTTTAGTGTTTGTCTAGTTTTGTTTAGAGATTTTAATATGCATCCTTAATTTCTCACGGTATATCTTGAATTATTATTTTGCCATGTCACAAATAGTAAAAGAACCCTATAACTGTATTTGCATTTAAACTCTCATCATTTCTGCTATCATTGTCATACTTTTTGTTTGTTTGTTTTTGTTTTTGAGATGAAGGCTTACTCTGTTGCCAAGCTGGAGTGCAGTGGCGCGATCTTGGCCCACTGCAACCTCCGCCTGCTGGGTTCAAGCGATTCCCCTGCCTCAGCCTCCTATAGGTGCACGCCACCACACCCAGCTGATTTTTTGTATTTTGGTAGAGACGAGGTTTCACTATGTTGGCCAGGATAGTCTCCATCTCCTGACCTTGTGATCTGCCCGTCTTGGCCTCCCAAAGTGCTGGGATTACAGGTGTGAGCCACCGCGCCCGGCCCATTGTCGTACTTTTTAACCTTCTTTCAAGGATCCCAGCCTTTGCTGTCTGTTGTTCAGTGTCTCAATTTCATATATTTCATACAGTTTTATAGTTATTTTTGGTAGGAAGGGAAGTTCAATATATTTAATTCTGTCAAGGGCAGAATTGATAGTCCCAATTGGTGTCTTTTTTTTTTTTTCTGAGACAAGGCCTCGCTCTGTTGCCCAGGTTGGAGTGCAGTGGTGCGATCATGGTTCACTGCAGCCTCAAACTTCTGGACTCAGGTGATCCTTCACCTCTGCCCCTCGAGTAGCTGGGACTACAGTCACCTGTCACCATGCCTAGCTAAATTTTTTTTTTTTTTAATATTTGTAGAGACGGTGTTGCCATGTTGCCCAGGGTTGTCTCAAACTCCTCGGGTCAAGCCATCCTCCTGCCTCTGCCTCCCAAAGTGCTGGGATTATGGACATGAACCACTGTGCCCAGCCTCCAATTGATGTCTTTTTTTGTTGTTTGTTTGACATGGAGTCTTACTGTCATCCGGGCTGGAGTGCAGTTTTGTAGTCTTAGCTCACTGCAACCTCCGCCTCGTAGGTTCAAGTGATCCTCCAGCCTCAGCCTCCCAAGTAGCTGGGACTACAGGCATTCTCCACCACGCCTGGCTAATTTTTGTGTTTTTTGGTAGTGACAGGATTTTGCCATGTTGGCCAGGCTGGTCCTGAACTCTTGACCTCAGGTGATCCACCCGCCTTGGCCTCCCAAAGTGCTGGGATTATAGGTGTGAGCCACCCCTCTCAGCAATTGATATCTTTCAATCCATTTCAATTGTTATCCTTTTTGGTGCTCAAAATGTTCCATTTTTGCCAATGGGCCAAACTGTGTGTGTGTATGTGTGTGTGTGTGTGTGTGTGTGTGTGTGTGTGTGTGAACATCCATTCATTTACACATTGGGTACAACTGGTTTTCAGTTTAACTGTAGAGTTAAATAGTTACTAGACTGGCCAGAAAGCCTAAAGTATTTACCAACTGGTCCTTTACAGAAAAAGTTTGCTAATCGCAGCTATATGAGATCCAGCTTACTCAAATTTTTTCCTGACAACCAGCTCTCCGTTTCTGCCCAATGTTTTCTTCCTGTGTGTGACTCTATTAAAGATACAGACGTTTCCTCATGATTACACTCTTATAAACCCTAAAGGTGAATGTACCTCCTGATAAAATTAGTTCTGCTCAAAAGTAAGAGTATACCCATCAGAGTCAGTTAACTCAAGCTTTTAATTCTGGCTCCACCTCTCTGCAAAGGGAGTTATGAAGCCTACCTCACTGAATCATTGTAAGAAGAAAGTGAAATTACAGTATGCCCCTCAAAGGAAATGGTAGCTATTATCGTTCTTACATTGAAAAGGTTTGCTTCTATTTATACTTTGTTTAGGTGAGTTCAGACAATGCCTGGCACAGACACTGTATTCGCAGTGCCTTTTGTAGTGATGCTTCGTACTTCTGCTCTGGTTTTTGGTGATGTCTTTAGAGGCCCTGGGGAGAGAGAAAGAGCAAATTGACTAGAGGTTTTGTATTGTGAGGTATAGGAGATAACATTGAAATAGTAATGTTAACCTCTGGCAGGATTTGAATGCAGGATGAAAAGTTTCTCCTGAAGGTTTTCAAACTTTTGTGGAACCACAGGATTCGGTGTAGGGGGTCACGGAGGAATGAGGTGCTCCCACTTCATCCAGAGCATGTCTTTTGATCTGTGTCGTGATTTGGAGTTCTATAGGAGATTTAGGTTGAACACATACCCCCAAAGCTATTCTCTGCCATCATCACAAGTTTGCGGGATGTTGGTTAGGGCTGAAGATGTAGATTGAGAGGCATCCGGCCAGCTGCCATGCAGTGTGACTTGGGATAATTACATGATTGGGCTGGCTGTGGCTTTATGTTTACAATACAGACGCTGAAGTCAGAGTGGTTGCCTTCAAGGTGTTAACTTCAAAACTTCACACCTGAGTCACCTGTGCAGCTTATTTAACCTTTCAAAATTGTTGTTCTGTCATCGGTAAGATGGAGATAATAATACTCAGCTCACAGATAATGTGTGCAGGGTAGTTAGCACGTTGATGGCATGTGGTAATACGTAGTATTACCCTTATGAGTAGTATGACTATATATAAATAGTAGTAGCAGTTGGTACACATTGATTGACATTTTTTTTTCAGACTGTCATCCTCACTGCTTAGCATACATCTGACACACGGGTGTCTAACAAATATTTGAACTGTAGACTTTAGCTCAATCAAAATGGGAGCTCTCTAAATGTGCCTGCTAATCAGAAAATAAATAGGTTAATCACATACTCCATTCTAATTGCTTATGAAATGTGCTGTGTTGATTAGGTGGTGTGTGCATTATAAGTAATGGAAGAAAGGGAGTTGTATGCATGTTTCAGAGCTGTTGAATTTCCTCATTAGATGTGCAAACTACATAAATCCATTGAGAGATTTATGTCATTACTGTCACTTCCGTGTAGCGGTGCATGTCCTGCTCAGCTGTTGCTGCCTTCAGCTCAGTAGAGAGAACTCCCTGGGCTCCCCTAGATACACTGTTGCCTATTCTCACAGATCGATATATTTGGAGAGATTTTGGTTATTATCTCGTAAGAGGTTTTAGCAGCAAAACTGGGAGAAATGGGGTTTAATGAGAATAGAAACTATGGAGACAGCAGTGTGGAATGAGAGTTGATTTTAGGTGTTATAAAGTGTGAGCATCGGCTGGGTGCGGTGTCTCAGGCCTGTAATCTCAGCACTTTGGGAGGCTGAGGTTGGTGGATCCCTTGAGGTCAGGAGTTCGAGACCAGCCTGGCCAACACGGCAAAACCCTGTCTTTACTAAAAATACAGAAGTTAGCTGGGCGTGGTGGGCATGCCTGTAATCCCAGCTACTCGGGAGGCCGAGGCAGGAGAATTGCTTGAACCCAGAGGCAGAGGTTTTGCAGTGAGCTGAGACTGTGCTGCTACACTCTAGCCTGGGTGACAGAGCGAGACCCTGTCTCAAAAAAAAGGCCAGGCGCGGTGGCTCACACGTGTAATCCCAGTACTTTGGGGATGCCGAGGCAGGCGGATCACGAGGTCAGGCAATCAAGACCATCCTGGCTAATACAGTGAAACCCCGTCTCTACTAAAAATACAAAAAAATTAGCTGGGCGTGGTGGCGGGTGCCTGTAGTCCCAGCTACTTTTTTTTTTTTTGAGACTCTGTCTCAAAAGAAAGAAAGAGTGAGCATTTTTCATTTGAGTTATATTTATATAAAACATAAGCATGTCAGAAAGGTGATTTTACAGATATCATTATTTAGCTTTTTACAAGATTAAGAACATGCTGGGCACAGTGGCTTATGCCTGTAATTCCAGCACTTTGGGAGGCTGGGGTGGGAGGATCACTTGAGGTCAGGAGTTGGAGACTAGCCTGGGCAACATAGTGAGACACCCGCCCCCCACCCCCGATTTCTGCAAAAAGTAAAATTAGATGGGCATGGTGGCATGCACCTCTAGTCCTAGCTATTTAGGTGGCTGAGGCAGAAAGGCAGGGATATTGCTTGAGCCCAGGAGTTTAAGGCTGCAGTTAGCTGTGATGGCACCACTGCAGTCCAGCCTGGGCAACAAAGCAAGACCCTGTCTCAAAGAAACCAAATTACTTTAAAAAAATGCCTCCCTTATAAAGCGTTGTGAGCATTAAATGAGATAATAAGTGTAAAGTGCTTAGTGTAGTGCCTGGCACATGATGAGTGCATATAGTAGTAAGTATATTTGTTTGTGGGTCAGGCACTAGTTCATTCCTGGGGATAGCAGAGAATGAGGCAATCCTTCACGCAGTAATCATTTATGGAGCATCTGCTGTGTGCCAGACATTGTGCTAAGTGCAGAGAAGACAAGAGAGCTCATTATCCATTGAGAGTACCATAATACAGTGCTAAGTGCCAAGAGGCAGACAGGCTGTTTGTGGAAAGTACCATGGGAGTCCAGCAGAGGGAGCCGGCACTCACCCTGTCTGCCAAGAAAGCCACAATCTTGCACTGGAGTGCTGCCATCTGTGCTGGCTGCTGCAGGCTTCATTTGGTCACTCAGCAAATATATAGTGAGTTTCTGCTGTGCACTAGGTATAGTGCTAGGCACTGGGGATTTACTCTTGAGCCATAAAGAGGGAGAGGGCCCCTGCACTCTTAAGAATATGTTGTCTAATAGCTGAGACAGGCATTAATCATGTAATCAAATACATGCACGAATATTTGCAACAATGGTAAGTTTTATGAAGGGGAGATATGTGCTGTTATAAATAGGGGATTTTATAGGGGTAGAATAGGGGACTTTGATTTGCCAGGAAAGGCTTTCCTGAGGAAATCTCCGAATTTAAATCTCATTGTGGGCTGAGTGTGTTGGCTCACACCTATAATCCTAGCACTTTGGAAGGCTGAGGCAGGAGGATTGCCTGAAGCCAGGAGTCTGAAACCAGCCTGGGCAACAAAATGAGACCCTGTCTCTACAAAAAGTAAAAAAAAATTATCTGGTGTAGTGGTGTGTGCCTGTAGTCCCAACTACTCAGGAGGCTGAGGATGGAGGATCGCTGGAGCCCAGGAGTTGGAGGCTGCAGTGAGCTACGATCATGCCACTGCACTCCAGCCTGTGTGAGAGGGCAAGACCCTGTCTCAAAACAAAAACAAAACAAACCCCAAACCCAAAACTCAAACCTCTCTGCATCACCCTAATCTCACTCTACTCCTTAAGGGCAGGGACTTTGTCTATTTTATTTGTTGTGTATCCCCAGTTCCTAGAACAGCACCTGGCATGTGGTAGGCACTGAAGTGAAGGAAGATGTGATTGATCTGAATTCTAAAGGGAGAGGAGGAGTTAACTGTGAGACGAAGGAGAGAAGGGACTTCAGGCAGAGGAAACAGCCTGTGCGGAGGATAGAGAGCAGGTTACATTTGAGATTGAAAGGAGGAGGTGTGTGGAACAGAGTGGGAGGGAGGGAGAGGAGTGAGGCAGGCTGGGGCCAAGCCATAGTGCCTTGGCCCACATAGGAAGAGTTCTGATCTGTTTCCAATGAGCAATATATTTTAAATAGCTAGTATCGTGATTCACCTTGCATTTTGGAAAGACTTCTCTCTTGCTTTTTGGAAGACAGACTATAGCAGGGGGCTACAGGGCAAGATTGAATGCAGGAGGGGTACAAAAGATAATGCCTGGACTTTCTGCTTCTGCTGCATGGATGGGTAGTTGGGCCATTCCATGAGATAGCAACACAGGAAGACAATGAGGTTTGTCTGGGAAAGATCACGAATTTGGTCTTTACCATGGTGAGCTTGAAATACCTTTGAGTCATGTAAGTGGCTGTTGAGAGAAGTCTGGGCTGGAGGTACGGGTCTGAGAATTATCTGCATAGAATTTTGGGATGAAGCCATGGGCATGGATGGGATGGCCTAGGGAGGCAGGGGGTGGTGGGATGAGAGCCAGGCCTAGGAGCTGAGAAACAGCAGGAGAGCTCAAAACTGAGGGAGGAGCTGCCAGAGAAGTAGGAGACCCAGCAGGGTGCGGTGGCATCCCAGAAGGCTACGGGCGCGCATGTTTCCCAGTGAGGACGTGATCGGTCTGTCCATTGTTGAGGAGTGAGCACTGGAAAATGTCCTCTGCTTCGACAATTTGGAGGTTGCCACTGGCCTGCTGGGGGCAGAAGCCAAATTGGAATGAGTGGAGGTGAGGACATGAAGACTGGAGCAGTGTGGCTGTGTGGGAAGAGAGAAGGTGGCACTGGAGGGGAGAGAAGGGTTGAGGGAAATTGTTGTTGTTGTTGTTGTTGTTGTTTGAAAGTTTCGCTCTTGTCACCCAGGCTGGAGTGCTGTGGCTCGATCTCGGCTCACTGCAACCTCCGCCTCCCAGGTTCAAGCGATTCTTCTACCTCAGCCTCCCAAGTAGCTGGGACTACAGGTGCACACCCCCACGCCTGGCTAATTTTTGTATTTTTAGTAGAGATGGAGTTTCACCATGTTGGTCAGGCTGGTCTCGAACTCCTGACCTCAGGTGATCCACCCGCCTCAGCCTCCCAAAGTGCTGGGATCACAGGCGTGAGCCATCACGCCCAGCCAGGAAGTTGTATTTTAAAATAAGTCTTGAGTTTTGTTAATACATTATAGGAGAAGTTGAATTGACGAGGTAATGGGCTTCCAGATGGAGAGACAGGGTGTACAAAGCCTGGAGGCTTCCAAGTGCTTGTTGTGCTTTGGGGCAGTGAGGTGCTTGTGCAACTGGAGCAGAGATGGGTGGGGAAGTGCAGTAGGAAGCACCTGGGGAAAAGCGGGCCTGGTTAGAAAGGGTCTGGCGTGGGGCCCCAGCCAGTGTGTGCCTGGGCAGCACATCACAGTAACAAAGTCTGAAGAGATGACAAAGCACAGTCTGAGAGGCAGCCAGAGTAGCGGGGAGCTGTTTATGGAGGAAATAGGGGAGGGGAGGGCAGATGAGAGAGATTTGCGGTCTTTTCTATAGGCCTCCGTATTTGATTAGGTTCAGGGAGTTGTAGGGGAAAACCTATGATGGAAGAAAGCACTGGTGTTCTTTGCTCAAGAGGGTGTTTGATTAATTGGGGTATTAGCACAGAAAGTTGGAAGCAAGCAGATCGGGGGTGGACATTTAGGGGGCAGTTTTCAGCCTTCAGTCGGGAAGATGAGTCTAGAACGTTGGAGGGCAGCTGGAGTCAGAGTTTCCAGTCCCCCGACAGTAGCTGGCTGAAGCCTCAGCACTGGGTGGGCTCACTGAGCAGGCTGAGCATGTTCTGGGAGGTGTCCCTGCTTCTGCTGCTGTGTAAACTCCGCCGTCAACATCTTGGGCTTTGAAGCCACTGAACGCCGGACTGGTTTACCTTGATTTGTCTTTGCAAAGTGTAGGAATGATGCTTGTCTTACTCCAGAATAGATTGTTTTTAGTGGGCTCTTGAGAAGTGGAGGTTTTATAGCTCAGACACCAGAGCCAGGCTCTTCTGGAGCCAGGGAATTCTAGTTCCCCTAGTTAAAAGCTGAGTGACTTTGGACAAGTTACTTTGCCTTTATAATGCCTCAGTTTTCTTACCTGTAAACTTAAGGTGATAAGAGTGCCTGATCCATGAGATAGATTGGGGATTAAATGAGAAATGCACATAAAGCACTTAGAACAGCGTTTGACACATTTTAAGTGCTCAGAAAGAGGTAATGATAGAGGTAGAAGTAGAGGTAGTCATTGTTTTGGGGTCTCCAGTGTTGTCGTTCCATTGTTAAAGCACCAGATGGCGACAAAGCACACATTTTCAGCTGCCTTGCATTCCCCTGCTTGGACTCCTTGAGTAGCTTTACTTATTCTCTTCAGATCCCTAATTGATGCAAAGTGAAGTATTTTGTTTGTTTCCTTTCTCTCTCTGGCTTCTTTAAAACTTCTGGTTGAAACTCATTTGTTTTGAGACTCTTATTTAAATTTCATTCATAAAATTAAAAAAATGCTTTGGTTGGAGTAGCATGTACACACAGTAAAACATTGGACAATACAAAATAGCTGTTAGTGAAAGGCAGCGTGCTGCCCTTGCCCTCCACCCTGTCCTACTCTCCAGGAGCACCCCGCGCTTTTTTTTTTTGGTGGGAGAGGAGTCTCACTCTGTCGTCCAGGCTGGAGTGCAGTGGCACGATCTCGGCTCACTGCAACCTCTGCCTCCCGGGTTCAAGGGATTCTCCTGCTTCAGCCTCCTGAGTAGCTGGAACTACAGGTGAGCGCCACCGTGCCTAGTCTCCCCCCCACCTTTTTTTTTTTGAGACGGAGTCTCGCTCTGTCGCCCAGGCTGGAGTGCAGTGGCACGATCTTGGCTCACTGCAAGCTCTGCCTCCCGGGTTCACATCAGTCTCCCGCCTCAAGCCTCCCGAGTAGCTGGGACTACAGGTGCCCACCACCACGCCCAGCTAATTTTGTTTTTGTGTTTTTAGTAGAGATGGGGTTTCACCGTGTTAGCCAGGATGGTCTCGATCTCCTGACCTTGTGATCTGCTCGCCTTGACCTCCCAAAGTGCTGGTATTACAGGTGTGAGCCACCGCGCCCAGCCTTTTTCTTTTTTTTGAGACAGGATGTTGCCCTGCCACCCATGCCAGACTGCAGTGGTGTAATCACAGCTCACTGCAGCCTCAAACGATTCTCCAACCTCACCTTCATAAAGTGTTAGGATTACAGGCGTGAGCCACTGTGCCCAGCCAGCACCCACTTTTAACTGTTATTATTACCACATCTTTTTGAATAGCTGAATTTTATATTACTTCAGCCAAAATATTGGCAGTCTATTGATTTGATACTGTTTCTTGGAGTCGAGGAGAGTCGTAGTAGCGGGGGCTTGGCGATTTTGTGATGTGTTTCCTTTGTGCCAGTCACTGTGATGGGCATTTGGCAAAGTCCCTGATCTTGGGCCACTAGTCACTGGGGGAACTAGTAAGTGCAGTGTGGTACGTGCTTTGGGGGAGCACTTGAGAGGGTGGATACCTGGCCTCTCCTGGGAGGACTGTCAGGAAGAGGTGAACATCTGAGCAGAGTTGAAGATAGGACCTGGTTTGGCAGGCAGGAAGGACAAGGAAAAGGTGCTCCCGGCAGGGTGGGTAGCAGGGTCAAACACGTCAAATGGCGAGAGCGTGGTATAGCTGCAGGAGGCTAGAGGGTAAGATTTTGGAGTTGGAGTTAGGGCTATGGTGATGCAGGCAGCATGGAGAGGGAGGGTCAGTCTTGAGGGCATTTCATGCTGTGTCAGAAGTTGGATCTTGTCTGAGAAAAACAGGGAACCACTGAAGGGTTTTAAAGGTAAAGCAACACGGTTACACTTGTATTTTGTGAAGATCAGTCTTGAAGCAGTGTGCAGAATGGATTGCATGGCTTTAGACCGCTTAGGAGATGACTGACTGGGACAATGTAGGTGAGAAATGGCAAGGGCCTGCTGTAAGGCAGTGACAGAAACCAGAGGCGGGACTGGGCCTGAGAAATGAAAAAGAGGTAGACTTGATAGGCTTGGAGGGTGGGGAAAAGTCAAGGATGGTTCCCATGTTTCTGGTTTGGGTTGCTGGATGCATGGTATTACCTGTGCATGAGCTGGGAAGTCCTGGTGAAGAAATAGAAGGTTTTAAGCTCATTTTCTTTTTTATTTTTATTTTTTTGGGGGACTGGGTCTCGCTCTGTCTCCCAGACTGGAGTGTAGTGGCATGAACATGGCTCACTGCAGCCTCAACTTCAAGCAGTCCTCCTACCTCAGCCTCCCAGGTAGCTGGGACCACAGGCATGCGCCACCTGCTCTGCTACTTTTTGAATTTTTTGTGGAGATGGGGTCTTACCATGTTACCCAGGCTGGTCTCAACTCCTGAGCTCAAGCAGTCCTGCCTCAGCCTCCCAAAGGCCTGGGATTACAGATGTGAGCCACTGCACCCAGCGTTAAGCTCATTTTAGATTTGTTGAGCCTGACTTGGCCTTGGTGACATCTAAGTGGAGATGCCAGTAAAGTTGGAATCAGAAGAGACTGCCACTTGGTAGCTTTGTCACCTTCATCAGGTTACTTGCCAATTTGGAGCCCCAGTTTCTTTTTCAGGTAAATGGGGATAGTGATAATCTCTACCAAAGGATCATGTTGTTAAAAGGAAGAGCTTCCTAAATACCCAGCACAGTCCATGGCCAGACAGGTGATCCGGGAAGTGGTTTCCTTCTTTCCTTTCTAAGGTTCGGAAGGACTCAAGCGCCTTCAGGCTTATTGCTCTTTGTACGAAGTGAGCAATTTTGGGTAATACCGTGTCCTATGGAAAGTAACTACTTAACTAAATTCATGTAGCTCATTCCTTAAGCCATCTATAATGGCTGAGAATGTTATCTAAAAACGCCTTTGCTTTTCCTGGTTCACTACATGTGTCACCACTTAACATTGACTTTTCCCCACTGTGTAGAAAGCATGTACCTACATCAGATCTAACCTTGATCCCAGCAATGTGGATTCCCTCTTCTACGCTGCCCAGGCCAGCCAGGCCCTCTCAGGATGTGAGGTGAGTCCGGGTTCCTACGCTGACAATGACTTTAACTATTTAAAGTACATTTTTAAAGGGGAGGAGTCATGTCAAACATCCTTTTTTTAATTATGAGAGTCCATTATTGTGAGTGGGAATTCCATTCCTGTGATTTTTTTTTTCCTTAAGAAAGTATAGTTTATGTTTCTCCTAAGTTTTTACTTTTCAAGGGTTTTAAATAACCTTTTTGTACAGTTTTTGCTTTTCTTCTGGTAGGTCTTGATTTTTTCCTTTCCATCTGCCTTTAACACGTAAAAATGTTCAAAGTGTACCCCCACACGAGGTTTCTGGAAGTCATTTTGTTGAACATAGGAGAACCATATAAGTAGAAAGGTAACTTGTCAGCATCTTTTCACATGGGAGTGTTGTACCGAAGTTTTGCAAACATTTCATCCTGGTGTCTGGGGATTAGAGGGGGATGAGCATGTGCGAGGCGGAGGTGACTTTGGCAGCTGCTCCGCATTCTGTCTTTGCCATGCCTGCCACAAATTGCCAAGACCTGTTCTAAAACTCTGTGTCTGCCAATTCTTTCTTAGATCTCTATTTCAAATGAGACCAAAGATCTGCTTCTGGCAGCTGTCAGTGAGGACTCATCTGTTACCCAGATCTACCATGCAGTTGCAGCTCTAAGTGGCTTTGGCCTTCCCTTGGCATCCCAAGAAGCACTCAGTGCCCTTACTGCTCGTCTCAGCAAGGAGGAGACTGTGCTGGCGTGAGTTGTCATCTCGAGCATTTCTCAGGCTTCATTTGTCTCGGGTCCTATCCGAAGAGGGCTCATTCATTGGTTCAGCAAATACTTTCTGGGCAAGTACTTGCAGTAAATACTTCCGTGTGCCAGGTGCTCTGCAAGGCACCGCAGACATGATTGCATGAAGGCAAGTAAGGTCCGTGTCCTCGTGGAGCTCACATGGACACAGTCTTCTGCAAGCCTCGCAGACAGAAGGCAAGCGCTGAGCCAGAGCATGAGCACACCACCACCTAGAGATCCAGTTGCCTTGTGCGGTTGGAGGGCTAGAGCAAGGGCAGATAACTGAGAAGGAGCCACGTGCATGTCTTGTTGAGGCTTGGCTAGGGCAGGATGACATGTTGGCAGTGGAGGCTCTGCAAAGTGGGGGCTCTCAGGATCCCTGGAAGTTGTGAAAGACAGCATCTGGTGGGTGAGGTGGTTGCTCAGAGGGTGGAGTATTCTAGGAATCAGACTCTACTACTCTGCAAAAGGCTTAGGTGAAGGAGAAGCACCTTTCCTATTTGTTATAAATGGAAATATTGTAACTTCAGGGTGTTTTTTGCTAAGCTCTTAAGTGATAATATATGTAGTTTTAAATTTTT
This sequence comes from Homo sapiens, assembly GCF_000001405.40. Taxonomy (NCBI): domain Eukaryota; kingdom Metazoa; phylum Chordata; class Mammalia; order Primates; family Hominidae; genus Homo; species Homo sapiens. The sequence goes on from NW_025791812.1 coordinate 109,345, forward strand.
ATTTATTTAGAGACAGGATCTCACTCTGTCACCCAGGCTGAAGTGCAATGGTATGATCAAACTCACTGCAGCCTTGAACTCTGGGCTCAAGTGATTTTCCTACCTCAGCCTCCCGAGTAGCTGGACTACAGGTGCAAACTACCACGCCTAGCTAATTTTTTTTTTTTTTTGAGACGTGGTCTTACTCTGTTACCCAGGCTAGAGTGCAGTGACGCGATCTCAGTTCACTGCAACCTCCGCCTCCCGGGTTCAAGCAGTTCTCCTGCCTCAGCGTCTTCAGTGGCTGGGATTACAGGCGCGCCACCACGCCTGGCCAATTTTTGTATTTTTAGTAGAGACAGGGTTTCACCATGTTGGCCAGGTCTTGAACTCCTGACCTCAAGCAATCTACCTGCCTTGGCCTCCCAAAGTGCTGGGATTACAGGCGTGAGCCACAGCGCCCGGCTGCCCAGCTAATTTTTTTAGTTTTTAGTGGAGATGGGGCCTGTCTGTGTTGTCCAGGCCGGTTGTAATTTTTTTTTTTTTAACACTTAAACTGCTCCTTTAAAACAATATTTTTTTTGTCATTTTATTTGTGTTCACCGTTTCACTGCAAACCCTGAAGGAGGGTGTGGAGCACCGTTCTGGAATCCCGTTCGTTGTTTAGCAAGAGGTTGGTGATACCAAATCCCCCTTTCAAAACAGTGAGATTGTTTCCCAGGTTTTTTTGTTTGTTTTTTGTTTTTTTGCTGACAACCAGATTTTCTGTAAACTTAAAGCTTTGTTAAGGACAGGGTTCACAGGCAATTGACATTCCCTCTCTGTCCCTCCTCACACCCTCCCTATATTCACATGGTCAATCATCAGTGACTCTAGGGCTGACATTTTGTACACACTTTGTCCAGTGCTTGGCCCTTTTGGGCCTTTGATTTCAGGTGACATATTTTGATATCTGCTTTTAATCCCTCATGGGGAATGCTTCTCCAGTCACCATCATCTCATGCCATGATGCCACTGTTAGTGCCTGTGCCTTACTTTGATGCTACCTTCTACAAAAAAAATTCCCATTTCCTTCCAAGCAGAAGGGAAAATCCCCTTCCTCAAAACCCCAGAACCCCAGGAAGAAGTACAAGGGAAGTACGTCCACTTTGGAGTCAGACAGACTTAGGTTTGAACACCAGCTATTTCATTCCTTGTGTCTGACTTTGGCCAAATTTCTAACTTCTCTGAGCCTTGCCTTTAAAATGAAACCCATAATTCTTACATCAAAGCAACTGACAGGATTAAATGAGATAATAGGTGTGAAGACCCTAGCGCAGTGCCTGGTTCTTGGTGGGCGTGTAGGAAACGGAGTTCCTTTTCTGGACCATTTGTTTGTTAGGTCCCTAACAAACAGGTCCCCCTTCTTAGAGAGTTTGTTACTTCCTTCGTTGTTGTTATTTGTATGTTAGGTCATAAGCTTTTTTTTTTTTTTTTTTGAGACAGGGTCTCACTGTGTCATCTAGGCTGCAGTGCAATGCGATCATATTTAAAGCTCACTACAACCTCAAACTCTTGGGCGTGAGCGATTCTCCCACCTTAGCCTTCTGAGTAGCTGGGACTATAATCACATGCCACCACACCCAGCCATAAGCTTTACTTGCAGTGCTTAGAGAGCCTGGCACATGGTCTGTACCCAACGGAGTTAATAAAGGATGAAACTATACTTTTGTGTTTCTGTTGTCTTGTAGAAAGCTCATAGGTAGGAAGAACATACGCTTTGGAGCAGAAAGAACTGTGTTCAAATCCATTCTTCTACTCAACCTCTGTGACCATGAGTGGGTTGTTTAGCCCGCCTAAACCTCAGTGTTCTCATATGCAAACCTGGAGAATGTCTCGTAGGGTCATTGTGAAATCCAACTGGTAGGTTGCCTTATATTACTACTAATTTGCGCTATTAAAGGCAAGCTGATATAAATTAGAACTCTTCTGAATGGGCCTTCTATATTTAAATGGGCTTTTTCTAGGAAGTGTATATTTGTAAACTTGTCTTGAATGGAAAAAAAGAAAATACTTGTAGATTTGAATGAACCACCTGAGAAGATCTCATTGTAGTCTGTCATAAATCAATTTCTCTGAATCATCTGCTATATATTAGCAAGATAAGATCTGCTTTCTTAGTGTTCGAATACAGTACTATGCTCCAGAGAAAAAGAAATTGCTGGCTGGGGAATAAGTAATTAAAGCCAGTGACAAAACTTTCTAAAACTCAGTGGATTAATTTCATTCTAAAACTTCTGAGGTTGTTACCAGCACGGCACTCTCTCATTCCAAAGAGAAAAAAATGATATCTTAATTGAGAAGTTCTTTCTAGGCTATCTTAACTGCCTTTTCTGAGCACAGCGTTTATCACGGGCAGATGTGTGATTTTTGTCTTGTTTGGAAATTCAGGTTTCATTTTCTCAAGTGTATGATAACAGCAAGCATCCCATAGGTGTCGTTGAATACTCTGGGGCTTGTCTCTCTGTAAATTGCGACTCTGCTGTTTTCCAACTTGTCATCTTAATGGAATGAGTTTCCCATGGAGAGAATCTAAATTGTTATGTTCTTGACATAAGCAGACAGATTCTTGCTCTACATTCCCTGACATATTGACTTGATAAGTGGTGGTTTTACACAAGGGCCCAGTCATCTCTTAGGAATTAGGAAACCATTCGGGGTGGAAGCAGCAATCTGTTTAACCACCAGGGGGCCTCTCCTCTCCCAGTTTCACCCAGAAAAGCACCATTTATATTTTCCAAATTATCTGTATTAAGATAATAGAATCTAATAAGTCTTACATGTATACATCTATCATGTTCCATCTTAAAAAGCTTATCTTCCAGAATTATAGATAAAAATATATGAATAAGCCATAAAAAAGAATGAAGTGCAGATACGTGCTACAACATGGATGAGCCTTGAAAACATTCTGTTGAGTGAAAGAAGCCAGACATAAAAGGACACAGATTGTATGATTCCATTTCTATGAAATAGCAGAATAGGCAAATCCGTAGAGATAGAACATAGATTGCTGGTTGCTGAGGGCTAAGGGGAGACACAATGGGGAGAAACTGCTCGGTGGGTTTTATCTATTTTTTTTGGAGACAGGGTCTCACTCTGTCACTTAGGCTGAGTGCGGTGGTGCAATCACAGCTCACTGAAGCCTCAACCTCCCTAGCTCAAGTGATCCTCCTACCTCAGCCTCCTGAGTACCTGGGACTATAGGCATGTGCCACCATGCCCAGCTAATATTTAAATTTTTTGTAAAGATGAGGTCTCACTGTATTGCCCAGGCTGGTTTCGAACCCCCAGGCTTAAGTGATCCTCCTGCCTCGGCCTCCCAAAGTATTGGGATTACAGGTGTGAGCCACCGTGCTCAACCAATGGGTTTTATTTTAGACTGATGGAAATATTTGGGAACTAGACAGGTGGTAGTTGCACAACATTGTGAATGTAGTAAGCACCCCTGAATTGTTTGCTTTTTAAAATGGTTAATTTTATGTGAATTTTGCTTCAATCTTTTTTTTTTTTTTTTTTTTTTTCTGAGACAGGGTCTCACTCTATTGCTCAGGCTGGAGTGCAGTGGCTCACTGCAACCTCTGCCTCCTGGGCCTCAGCCTCCCAAGTAGTTGGGACTACAAGCACACGCTACCATACCTGGCTCATTTTTAGTATTTTTAGTAGAGGTGGGGTTTCACCATCTTACCCAGGCTGGTCTTGAACTCCTGGGCTCAAGGAATTTGCCTGCTTCAGACTCCCAAAATGCTGGGATTACGGGCGTGAGCCACTGCGCCCAGCCCAATGCCCACGGTTCTTCTTGCCAGTTCTGTTGCCTGGGTTGCCTTCTCAGCTGTGATGATCTTTTCCAGGTTTTGTCACATCTGTCCTAACTGGATTATAAGTAAACTCCTTAAAGGCTGAGACCAACTTGTACTTCTAAAGAACAAGAGTAGGATATTTGTGAAAGTGTCCAAGTACGGGAAGGGGTGAGTGGATGAAACAAGACTTGCCATTCATTGGGGTTCTACTCTTTACCTTCCAGAACAGTCCAGGCTCTGCAGACAGCATCCCACCTGTCCCAGCAGGCTGACCTGAGGAGCATCGTGGAGGAGATTGAGGTGTGAATCTTTTGCCAAATGCATCTCCCAGCTCCTGTCTTTGACACTCTGCAGAAGAATCTTGCAGATAGCCATGCATGATCTGTTACTACAGGTTACATTGCTTCTTATATCCATGGCACACTTGTGTTCTTTGTATTAAGGTATTGTGTCCTGAGGAATATTTGTGCCTATTACATAATAGGTCCTCAGGACGTGGTGACTGTGGTTTTTATTATTGCTCTATCCTTGCCTTTGCCCAGAATATCATGCTCCTCTGGGACCTCTGTCATGGACTGCCTGGCAGGAGTGACAAGCAGTCCTGATGGTGTTCTCACTGGATGCTTCACAGGCACGTTGGTTGCCTAGTCATGTTGCCTAGGAGAGCAGTATGTCTCTCTTTGTCTTTTGGAGCATTAAGAAATTCTGGGAAACGCTGTGCTTTGTAGGTTGTATTCAAATGGATGGCCATGGACTCCATCTGTGTCATGATGCTTCCTGGGTGCACAGCAGCCTGGCCCACTGGCTTTCCACCCAAAGCAGCTGGCGTGTTCTGTGCCATGACTCCTGGGCTTGGGCCTGCATACAAGGGGCCAAGGAAGGAGCCCTCCCAAAACTGCAGAAGATAGTGCTCTCCTCAAATGTCTGTTTGATATACTTTACTCTGCCTAAGCACCATTTTTGAGAAAGTATGAAGTGACTGAGATGGTCTTCAGATTTAGAGTGAGAGATGTCACGAAGCTGTCTGCAGTGGGGTTGACAGTGGTTCGTGCATCTCATTTCTGCTGTTACTTGACATCCAGCATATTTCTGTTTTGTTATGGCAGGACCTTGTTGCTCGCCTGGATGAACTCGGGGGCGTGTATCTCCAGTTTGAAGAAGGACTGGAAACAACAGCGTTATTTGTGGCTGCCACCTACAAGCTCATGGATCATGTGGGGACTGAGCCATCCATTAAGGAGGTACCTATCTAACAATTTTCAGGCATGAAACCCAAAGGGGTCATCAGCTGTATCTGCTAAGGATGGCTTTTATCAGAGAGGAATGTTCAGACAGTACCTTGGGATGCTGTCACTCAGTGTCCTGGGTTAGGGATTAAGAATGAGAAATAGAAAGATGTAATGCCTGTCTTCAGGAAATGGGTTGCTAGTGAGGTAGACGTGTAAACAAACCATGCTTGCTTTAAATGGGGTATGTACATGTCACGAGGTAGTATCAAGGAAGCCACGTGTATTACTCCTGTTTCATCTCCCTTTCTTCCCAGTACCCTTTTCTGCTTGTCGCCTGAATGCTTTCCACTCTGGTGGCTCATTCAGATCCTTCTCTGGGCTCACAATTGCTTCTCCTCCCTTCCCCCTTATGCTCAGCAACGGCTAAATCTTAGCTAATCTTTGCTGATGGACATAGTTCACTGAGAGGCATGTGTGTCTATCACACATCCGCCAAGAGTTCATTCTTTTTCTCAAGAGGAGGTTGTTAACCTGAAAGAATCTTTAGTTGGAATGCATGTGGGAAGCCTTTTTGAGTAGGACCGTCTTTGTACCCCTTGTTTGTGAGAAGTTACCAGCCCTTAATCTAAAGTACTTAAAATACAAGCTGCTTTTATTTAAATTTTAGGAGGAGAGATTTGGGTTTTAAGTGAGAATTTTCATTTCTTTATGCATTATGAGTTTTGTGCCAAGTTTCTTTAAGTAAATAGTTATCTGTCTTGGATAATTGGAATTAATTTCATATTTTCTCCATGTGGTCAAATAAGTTATTCATGTGTTTGCATTCTTTTTGTGTCTCTTCCTTTGTCCTAAGTGTAGGAGGTCTAGAAATATACTCCCTTTTAATTTCTGTTATGGGTGAAATTGCAAGAGTGTGGGGTCTTAGGGTACAGATTGTTTGCTGATTGTCCTATACACAGTAAAGTAGATGAATTAATGATATTGTACTTATACAACTTAAACATTTTCTTCCTTTATTTCCAAGCTGCTGCTAACCAGGTACTTGGCTGGAGTAATTTCGCTGTCACTGCTTTTGACAAAACAATTCTGGTGAACAGTCACCCATTTTAACGTGTCAACAGAGTAGTGATGGAAAATTGTAATTGGTCCAATTAAAGAAAATTCTTTCATGTTGACTGTGAATAACACTGTCAGGAACAAGAGAGCCCTTTTGTTGGATGGTAGATTTTAAAAAACAAAACTGATTGAAGGGGAAAATGTTTCCTCCTAAGCAAATAACCTCCAGAATTTTAATAATGCCTTTTAGGTTCCACTTTTTTAAAAAATTGCTTTTAGTTTTCTCCTCTAAGCAGCCCATTAGTTCTTAATGGAGAGTTATTTTAGTTTCTTTTTAATGTACATTTTAGCTATAAAGTTTGGTCTTATAAATAAAAACTTTGCCTCAATGTACTACTTACAAGTAGGTTGGGAGGAAAGGTAGCTTAGCTGGGAGGATAATGAGAATCAGGAAAGAACAGATTTTCTTGTAGAAGGACTTTGGAGACAAACAGTCCTACATTTGAATGTTGGTCTTGCTAATGTTGTGGTAACTTGCAGAAGTTATTTAGCCTCCTTTAGCCTCAGTTTCATTTTTTGGGAAACATTGATAATAGCAATCTTTTATAGTTTTTGTCAAAATTTGAGTTAATGCATGTAAAGCACCTATCATGATGCCTGGCATATATAGACATTAACAAATAATTACTATTATATATATTTCATAATATAGTTTCATATCTCAGTAGTTATCTGGAAGTACCCTGCATTTGTGTAGTAAGCATTATTATGATTTTTTTTTCAGACAGAGTCTTTCTCTGTCGCCCAGGTTGGAGTGCAGTGGCGCGATCTTGGCTCACTGCAACCTCCACCTCCTGGGTTCAAGCAATTCTCGTGCCTCAGCCTCTTGAGTAGATGGGATTACAGGCGCATGCCACCATGCCTGACTAATTTTTGTATTTTTAGTAGAGTTGGGGTTTTTCTCTATGTTAGTCAGGCTGGTCTCGAACTCCTGACCTCAAGGGATCTACCTGCCTTGGTCTCCAAAAGTGCTGGGATTACAGGCGTGAGCCACTGCACCTGGCCTGTATAATAAGCACTTATTAAATAACTGACAAATCATGAATTTCAGTTTATAAAGGAAGATGGAAAAAAAAACAACCACATCCAAGTTCTAAGTTTAAATGCAGAATATTTGCGTTTTCTCCATCTACGAATTTGGATCATTGACCAAAAGACCTCCCATGTGAACACCCGAAACAGATAAGGGTGACTTTCCTCTACAGCAGTGGCCCTCCCACCTTCCCAGCAGAGGAAGAGAAACAGCTGCATTTCGCATTTCTTTCAGGATCAGGTCATCCAGCTGATGAACGCGATCTTCAGCAAGAAGAACTTTGAGTCCCTCTCCGAAGCCTTCAGCGTGGCCTCTGCAGCTGCTGTGCTCTCGCATAATCGCTACCACGTGCCAGTTGTGGTTGTGCCTGAGGGCTCTGCTTCCGACACTCATGAACAGGCTATCTTGCGGGTAAGACATCCATGCCCAAAGTGTGCCCCTCTGATTATCATTCCTAGTGGAAGGCTTTCAGAAATCTGGACTATGGTCACAGCCAATTACAGCCCCTACAAGGACATACCCATTAAATGGAGGGCAAGGCTCATTTCCCTGAGCCTTGAAATGGAGACATGACCACTCGGTGAACTAGCCACAGAACCCTTCAAATCTATTAAAAAAATTTTTTTCCCCTCGTGGATTTTTAATTTTTGTTTCTTTTTTTGAGACAGAGTCTTGCTCTGTCACCCAGGCTGGAAAGCAGTGGCATGATTTTGGTTCACTGCTGCATCCACCTCCTGGGTTCAAGTGATTCTTGTGCCTCAGTCTCCCAAGTAGCTGGGATCACAGGCGCACACCACCATGCCTAGCTAATTTTTGCATTTTTAGTAGAGATGGGGTTTTGCCATGTTGGCCAGGCTGGTGTTGAACTCCTAGCCTCCCAAAGTGCTGAGATTACAGGTATGAGCCACTGTGCCTGGCCTCTCCCTAGAGGATTTTAAATAGTACAGGCTTGGCTGGGTACTGTGGCTCACGCCTGTAATCCCAGCACTTTGGGAGACTGAAGCAGGCGGATCATGAGGTGAAGAGATTGAGACCATCCTGGCCAACATGGTGAAACCCCATCTCTACTAAGAATACAAAAATTAGCAGGGCCTGGTGGTGCGCACCTGTAGTCCCAGCTACTCAGGAGGCTGAGGCAGGAGAATCGCTTGAACCTGGGAGGCAGAGGTTGCAGTGAGCCGAGACTGCACCACTGCACTCCAACCTGGTGACAGAGTGAGACCCTGTCTAAAAAAAAAAAAAAAAAAATACAGGCTTTCAGTAAGTGCAGGAATATTGCATTTCTAGGTCTATAACTCCAGATGTATAGAGAAGTCTTGCATCTAAAATGCACTTCCCAATACCAAACTTTCTTTTTCATATTTTTTTGGTTTTGTTTTGGTTTTTTTTGAGACGCGGTCTCGCTATGTCGCGCAGGCTGGAGTGCCGTGGTGCGATCATGGCCCACTGCAGCGTAGGCTTCCTCCAGTACCCAAATTTTCTAAATATGTTATTTTACGACAGCTGTTTTAATTCTCAATTAATTCTGGTGTTTATGGTTGATCAGTTCTCTTTTTCCCTGGTCCTTGATGGGATATCTTTTTGCCTCTTTATAGCACAGTCCTCCCTTTCACTCAGCAGTAAGCATAGACTTCTCCTTTGTGTTAACTCGTTGAACAGAGCACATGCACAGATCTTGAATATGCTTAGAACTTTTATCTCAAATGAGGCGTTTTGTTGCTGTTGTTTGGAACCAGTGATAAGCTAAGATCTTCATGAGAAATTAGCATTTTATTAATGTCTAAGTGTTGGGTTTCCACTTAGGACAGTTCTGTCTGTCCCATTAGTTCTACTTTGGTGGCCCCTGCAGATATCCTCCTGAGCGAGTACCCTGTTCTTCAAAATTGCCCATTTTCTCCCTACATACAACTCATATACCCTCAACAAAGACTTGGGTAGAAAGTAACCTGAGTAACATGGTTTCCTGTGAGTCAAGAGGGGCTAAGAGAACAAAGTGGAAAAAGAATTGACTCTGAAGTTAAATAGATGGTTTGAGTCCTGGCTCAACTGCTTAACTGGCCATGTGACCTTTAGCAGTCCCTTAACCTCTTGTGGCTTGTTTCTTCACCTGTGCAATAAGGATTATTCTATCTGTGTCGTACAATTGATAGGAGAATGTATGTAAAGGGCCTAGCCTGGTATATGCATATAGTTGACTTTCAACAAATGATAGTTATTAATATTATCCATATTTCTTTAATTTTCCCATTGCTGATACCATTCTAAAGTATTTTTCTGGCTGATTTATTTATTAATTTTTTAGTAGAGACGGGGTCTCACTGTATTGCCCAGGCTGGTCCCAAACTCCTGGCCTTAAGTGATCCTCCCATCTCGGCCTCCCAAAGTACTGCAATTACAGGCATGAGCCACTGCACCCAGTCTAGCTGAGACATTTTTTTTTTTCTTTTTCAGAGACAGGGTTTCCCTCTGTTTTCCAGGCTGGAGTATAGTGGCGCAATCATAGCTCATGCTAACTCTTGGGCTCAAGCAGTCCTCCTGCCTCAACTTCCTGAGTATCTGGGACTACAAGCACATGCCACCATGCCCAGCTAATTTTTTAATTTAAAAAACTTTTTTTTTTTTTGGTAGAAACGAGGTCTTGCCATGTTGCCCACGCTGTTCTTGAACTCTTTGGCATCAAGTGATCCTCCTGACTCAGCCTCCCAAAGCACTGCAATTATAGGCATGAGCCATCATGCCCAGTCTGATAAATTCTTTTAAAGATTCTGTAGTAGAGTGGATAGAATAGGGAATCAGAAAGAAGGCAATATATTGGCCAGGTGTGGTGACTCATGCCTGTAATAATTCACTTTAGGATTAGGCAGCAGGCCCAAGGTCAGCCAAGATTTCCCGAAGCAGGGGATTTGCTCTCCTGCAGAGCTTGCAACCTATAGATAAAGCACCCCAGAAACAAAATTCTCTGCTCCTGTAGCCTTTGTTGTAACAAATAATTTTTTATTTATTTCCAGTTGCAAGTCACCAATGTTCTGTCTCAGCCTCTGACTCAGGCCACTGTTAAACTAGAACATGCTAAATCTGTTGCTTCCAGAGCCACTGTCCTCCAGAAGACATCCTTCACCCCTGTAGGGTAAGTCCTGATCATATTTTGGTGGGGCGCTGACCTCTTTGTTTTGGAAAGTTAGCCTGCAGCCAGTGTAACAGATTAATACATTCCAGTTAGGTAAATTTGATCTACTGGTATCGAAAGCCTACAGTCGAATGTAAGAAAATGATTTTTAAAATGAAGATTATTTGGTTTTACTGTTTCATTCTCTGTTTCTAGTTGGCTCTGTCTTGTCATTGTGACATAAGTAGCTATTTTGAAATTTAATATTTATTGATTTTTTTCTGATAAATAATAATGTTTATTATAGGAAAAATACAGCAAAGCACAAAAAAAGAAAATATAACTTACCCATAATGCTACCATTCAGAGATAACTTTTGCTAACTTTTTTTTTTTTTTTTTTTGAGGCGGAGTTTTGCTCTTGTTGCCCAGGCTGGAGTGCAATGGTGCAATCTCAGCTCACCGCAACGTCTGCCTCCTGGATTCTAGCGATTCTCCTGCCTCAATCTCCCAAGTAGCTGGGATTACAGGTGCCCGCCACCACGTCCGGCTAATTTTTTGTATTTTTAGTAGAGACAGGGTTTCCCCATGTTGGCCAGGCTGGTTTCGAACTCCTGACCTCAGGTGGTCCACCTGCCTCGGCCTCCCTAAGTGCTGAGGTTACAGGCATGAGCCACTGTGCCTGGCCTTGCTAACATTTTATAATTTTTTTTTGACAGTCTTTTTTCTATGTATGTAAATAAATTTTAAAAATTCAGTTAAGGGCCAGGCATGGGGCTCATACCTGTAACCCCAGCACTTTAGGAGACTGAGGCAGATGGATTGCTTGAGCCTAGGAGTTTGAGACCAGCCTGGGCAACATAGCAGGACCCCATCTGTAATTTTTATTTATTTATCTATTTATTTTTTGAGATGGAGTCTTCCTCTGTCACCCAGGCTGGAGTGCAGTGGTGTGATCTCGGCTCACTGCAACCTCCACCTCCCGGCTTCAAGCAATTCTCCTGCCTTAGCTTCCCGAGTAGCTGGGATTACAGGTGTGTGACACTACGCCTGGCTAATTTTTGTATTTTTGGTAGAGGCAGGGTTTCACCATGTTGACCAGGCTGGTCTTGAACTCCTGACCTCAAGTGATCCACCCACCTCGGCCTCCCAAAGTGCTGGGATTACAGGCGTGAGCCATTGTGCCCGGCCTTTTTTTAAATTAGAGATGGGGGCCAGGTGTGGCAGCTCACGCCTGTAATCCCAGCACTTTGGGGGGGCCAAGGTGGGCGGATCACTTGAGGTCAGGAGCTCGAGAACAGCCTGGCCAACATGGCGAAACCCCATCTCTACTAAAAATACAAAAAAATTAGCCAGACGTGGTGGTGCACGCCTGTATTCCCAGCTACTCCGGAGGCTGAGGCAAGAGAATCACTTGAACCCAGGCAGCGGAGGTTGGCAGTGAGCTGAGAACGCGCCATTGCACTCCAGCCTGGGCGACAGAGCGAGGCTCCATCTCTATTAAAAAAAAAAAAAAAAATCAGGGTATGCTTTATATGTAACAATGTGCCACAAACTTTTTTTTATAGGATTAAATATTCTTTTACAATTTTTTTTTTTCTTTTTTGAGATGGAGTTTTACTCTTGTTGCCCAGGCTGGAGTGCAGTGTAGTGGCGTGATGTCTGCTCATTGCAATCTCCACCTCCCAGCTTCAAATGATTCTTCTGCCCCAGCCTCCTAAGTAGCTGGGATTACAGGCACCTGCCACCATGCCCGGCTAATTTTCGTATTTTCGGTAGAGATGGGGTTTTACCATGTTGGCCAGGCTGGTCTTGAACTGCCTCAGCCTCCGAGTGGCTGGGATTATAGGCGTGTGACCTCAGGTGATCCTCCCACCTCAGCCTCCAAAGTGCTGGGATTACAGTTGTAAGTCACCATGCCTGGCCTTTACAATGATTTTTAATGGCTGCATATTATTGCTATGTAATTTTTTAAAAACTAAGGCCCAGTTTACTGGGTGTGTGGCTTGCCTATAGTTCCAGCTACTTGGGAGGCTGAGGTGGGAGGATCGCTTGAGGCTGGGAGGTCTAGGCTGTAGTGAGCCATGATCATACCATATCACTCCAGCCTGGGTGACAGAGGGAGACTCTGTCTCAAAAACAAAAACAAAAAACTAAGGGTCAAGCTGGGCACAGTAGCAGGTACCTGTAGTCCAGCTACTTGGAGGTTGAGGCAGGAAGATCATTTGAACCGAGGAGCTTAAGACCAGTCTGGGCAACATAGTAAGACCTGTTTCTAAAAGAAAAAAATTAAGGGTCAATTTTTATATGAATTAGTGTTTTTCCCAGCTAATTGTATAGAATTTTTTTTTTTTTTTGAGACAGTTTCGCTCTGTTGCCTGGGCTGGAATGCAGTGGCGTGATCTTGGTTCACTGCAACTTCTGCTTCCCAGGTACAAGGAATTCTGCCTCAGCTTCCTAAGTAGCTGGGATTACAGGCACCCGCCACCATGCCCAGCTAATTTTTTTTGTATTTTTAGTAGGAATGGGGTTTCACCATGTTGGCCAGGCTGGTTTCGAACTCCTGACCTAAAGTGACCCGCCTGCCTTGGCCTCCGAAAGGGCCAGGATTACAGGTGTGAGCCACTGGCCTTATATGGAACTTTTTGAAGTGTTAAATTAGGTAATAAGTTATTGAGATCAGGAGTTTTCAATTTTAGAGAGAAAATGCGTTTCTTAATCATAAGGATACATAGGCAATATGTGAAATTAAAAAGCAAAATCATTTTTAGGCGTGTCAATGGAGTGGTAAAAGACATTGAGATTTTACTATATAGTTAGAGTAAGGAATTCTCTACCTTTTTTTCCCTTTAAAATAAAAATAAATATTTTTAATAAAAGTAAGATATGTCCTTTTTGAGAAATTCACAAAACACGGAAAGGTAGAAATCATACCAAAAAATTAGCCACAATTATACTATCGTACACCAACCTCTTTGTACATTTTGGAGTATTTTCCTCTACATTTTTGTTGTCATTGTGAAACATATGTGGGATCACATTGTAAACTTCTCAATTTTACATTACACTGTGGAAAGCTACCAGGAGTTTGAATTTTAGGAGTGGTGGGAGTAACAAAGGAAAAGAAAACGTTGGAAACCTAGGGGTGTTCATCTTAGATACTTTTCTCCACATGCCAATCTGTGATTAAGCACGAGGGTCAGGCATGGTGACTCATGCCCCAGCCTGCACTTTGGGAGGCTGAGGCAGGTGGATCACTTGATCTCAGGACCCTGTCTCTACAAAAAACTGCAAAATTATCTGGACGTGATGGTGCATGCCTGCTGTCCCAACTACCAGGGAGGCTGAGGTGGGAGGATCAGTTGAGCCTACGAGTTTTGAGACTGTGGTGAGCTGTGATCGTGCCACTATACTCCAGCCTGGGTGACAGTGAGAACCTGTCTCAAAATAAAAAAAAAATAAGAAGCACGAGATTGCCCAAGTGGGGTGGGAAGTCAAAAAGGTAAGGAGTTGGCTAGCCTTGGACAGTCTCCAGGAGACATTTTGTAGCTCCTGTTTGTTATATCCATGACTTTCCTACCTGAGTTCTTGCTAAGCCCATTGTCATTCTTAACAGGGATGTTTTTGAACTAAATTTCATGAACGTCAAATTTTCCAGTGGTTATTATGACTTCCTTGTCGAAGTTGAAGGTGACAACCGGTATATTGCAAATACCGTAGAGGTAGGTGTTTTTCTTTCCTTCCCATTGCCATGTTAGTATATCCAAGGATATGGCCAAATTGACACAGTATTAATTGTCTGGTGCATTGACTTTTCTCTACAACCAAGCTAATGTGTTTATGTGGAGGGAGGGCTGCATTCAGTCTTTGCTGTTTGACAGACTTAGTAGCTAAGGCAGTAAATCAAGAACTTGGTCATAGTGAATTTTCTTTTATTTGTAAGTTTTTCATTTTCCATTATAATTTAGCATTACTGTCTTACATGAAATTTAGTTAGTAGAAAAAATAAAAATCACCCATAATTCCACTGAGCCTTAAACTCTTAAAGTGTTTTGTGTGATAGGCTTTGGTGGGTTTAGAAAAGTGCTTGATGCCAAATAGGTGACAAAAAGCACCAAGTGACACATACGTAACACTATAATGAAGCTATTTGGGTAAAGGATAAAAGAAAATCAGTAATCTTTCATAATGAACTTTGTTGATGTTTAGCTAACTCTAGCTGGGTTGAAGATCGAAGTAGCTTTAAGGATAGAAAGCCTTATTTACCTGATGCTTTGTGGGAAAGAGGTAGTTCACCTTAGTATTTTTCCCAGCTAATTGAAATTTACCCCATCTGGCATGGTGGCTTTCATTGTAATCTTTTTAGATAGAAGTTTATTTAAGATGAGTGACACATTTTCCTACTTTCTTACTTCCAATTTAAGATGGTTTCTTTGTCTTTCATGACCTTGACACTTGAAGAGGATGGGCTCTCAATCTGTAGAATGTCTCTCCGTTTGTGTTTGTCTGATGTTTCTTCATGATCAGGTTCAGGTCATGCATTTTCCGCAGTTCTATCCCAAAAGTAATGCTCTGCCCTACTCAGAACAAGAAGTATATGATGTCGATATGTCTTATTACAGGTCATGTTAACCTTGATCACTTGAGTAAGGTGATTGTGTGCTAGGTTTCTCTGCTGTAAAGTTGCTGTTTTTCTGCTTGTATTTAAGTGTCTTGTGGGGTGGTACTTTGAGACTCTGTAAGTATCCTAATGATGTTGTCTGTAATAGTTATTACTGTGGTGTTTGCCAAAGGGTGATTTTCTCTTTCATTCCTTCTACATTTTAAAAATTGGAATTCTGCTGTAAGAAAATAACTGTGTTTTATACCATTTTATTTATAACTATCATAATTCTTTATCATAACATGTTTATAATGTAATATATTTTCTATAATTCATATGTTTACAATAATTGCATCATGGACATTTATTTTACTATATACATTGTGGTCCATGACTCATTTATCTTGTTGCTCATTTTATCCTAGGTTTGGCCTTTGGAGAGCTCCTCAAATTGGCTCCTGTGACACTTGCTTTCTTTTAATGACAGAATTAATAGCTAGAAAGTTTGACCTTTTCAAAAATGCGGCATTACTTCCCATAGGTAGATTCAACACTTGCATTTAAAGTTTGGCAGAAAGGAAGATGTTTTCTGGAACTCGAATCTCTTCACCTCATGTGTTGACCTTTTTAGCATGAGACATCTGATCTTAGTTCGTTCACTATGGATAGAAGCTATTGTAGCGTATGCCTTGATCCTTTCAAATCCACATTCTTATAATGTTAGTTTCCTATGTTAAGAGGACTTATTTGCAACTGAACATATTAAAAGGAAAGTTCTTTTTTTCTTTTCTTTTTTTTTCTTGAAACCTCTTCTTCCCTGTACTTCGAGTCCATCTTAAATGCCAGGCTTATACCTCACAGTTCTTAACCCCTTCCTTTCTTTTCACTTCTACCTTCTAGTCAGTTACCAAGTCCTATTGATTCCACCTCTGATTGTCTTTTCCATGAGTCTTTTGCTGTTACAGTCACCAAATTGCTCTATTCTCCATATTCGTACCAATATTTGGTATTTTTAGGTTTTAGTAATCTGATGCATATGAAAAGGTATCTTGTTTTAATGTCTTTCCTTGGTTACTGGTAAAGTTAAACATCTTTTTATATATTTATTAGCCAATTACATTTCCTTTCCAGTGAATTGTTTTATATCTTTGCCTGGTTTTCTTTTGGTTTGTTAGTCTTATTACTGATTTTTAGGAGTGATATATGTTTAGTTGTGAGCATCAGATATCTTCCCCTAGAATTGCTTTATGGCATCTCTTGAAGCACAAAATTTAATTTTAATGAAGCCTAATTTAAATGTCTTTTCCTAGGGCCAGGTGAGGTGGCTCACACCTGTAATCCCAGCACTTTGGGAGGCCAAGGCAGGCGGATCACCTGAGGTCAGGAGTTCAATACTAGCCTGGCCAACATGATGAAACCCCATCTCTACTAAAAACACAAAAAGTAGCCAGGCGTGGTGGCACGTGCCTGTAATCCCAGCTACTCGGGAGGCTGAAGCAGGAGAATCGCTTGAACCTGGGAGGTGGAGGTTGCAGTGAGCTGAGATCGTGCCACCGCACTCCAGCCTGGGCAATGGAGCCAGACTCTGTCTCAAAAAAATAAATAAATAAATAAAATACAAGTTTTTTTGCTAGACTGTGTTTTTTATATCTTCTTTAAAACAATCCTGTGCTACCCCAAAGTCAAAAAGATATTCTCCAATGTTTTCTTTTTTTATTTTTATTTTTGTTTTTGAGACAGAGTCTCGCTCTGTCACTCAGGCTGGAGTATAGTGGTGCCATCTTGGCTCACTGCAGCCTCTGCCTCCGGGGTTCAAGCGATTCTCCTGCCTCAGCCTCCCGAGTAGCTGGGACTACAGGTGCATGCCACCACACCTGGCTAATTTTTGCATTTTTAGTAGATACAGGGTTTTGCTATATTAGCCAGGCTGGTCTCCAACTTTTGGCCTCAAATGATCCGCCTGCTTTGGCCCACCGACGTGTTGGGATTACAGTCGTGAGCCACTGCACCTGGCCCTCCAGTGTCTTTTGAACATTTTTAAAGTTGTTTTCCCCCTTATATTTAAGGCTTCGGTCTATCTGAAGTTCATTTTTGTTGCTGTAGTATTTTACACCCTTTTCTATAATTGTACTTATTGCATTATATTACCATTGTTTGTTTATATGCATTGCTTTTTCTTTTTCTTTTTCTTTCTTTTTTTTTGAGACAAGGTCTCATTCTACCACCCAGGCTGGAGTGCAGTGGCGTGATCATGGCTCACTACAGCCTTGACCTTCTGGGCTCAGGTGATCCTCCCACCTCAACCTCTCAGGTAGCTGGGACTACAGGCATGCACCACCATGCCCAGCTAATTTTTGTATTTTTTTCTAGAGACTGGGTTTTGCCATGTTGCCCAGGCTGCTCTCGAACTCCTGGGCTCAAGCGATCTGCCCACCTTTGCCTCCCAAAGTAGTGGGATTATAGGCGTGAACCACCACCTGCATTGCTTTTTCACTGGGCTGAGAACTCCTATGGGTGAAAACTAAATATTATTATTATTATTATTATTATTATTCTTTTTTTTTTGAAACAGAGTCTCGCTCTGTCACCAGGCTGGAATGCAGTGGCGCAATCCCGGCTCACTGGAACCTCCGCCTCCTGGGTTCAAGTGATTTTCCTGCCTCAGCCTCCCGAGTAGCTGGGGCTACAGGCACGCGCCACCATGCCCAGCTAATTTTTGTATATTTAGTAGAGACGGGGTTTCACTATGTTGGCCAGGATGGTCTTGATCTCTTGACCTTGTGATCCGCCTGCCTCGGCCTCCCAAAATGCTGGGATTACAGGCGTGAGCCACCATGCCCGGCCTAAATCTTATTTTTTCAGTGCTTGGTTTCCATTTAACATTACTTAGAGGAAGAAAAGGATAGAGTGGTCTAAAGATGTTTTTCCACATTGCAGGCCCTTCAGAACTCTGGCAATTCATCTTCCAGACTTAGCTTTTTTTTTTCTTTTTTCTTTTTTTGAGATGGAATCTTGCTGTCACCCAGGCTGGAGTGCAGTGGCACGATCTTGGCTTACTGCAACCTCCGCCTCCACCTCCCGGGTTCAAGTGATTCTCCTGCCTCAGCCTTCTGAGTAGCTGAGATTACAGGTACACGCCACCATGCCTGGCTAATTTTTTTGTATTTTTAGTAGAGACGGGGTTTTGCCTTGTTGGCCAGGCTGGTCTCAAACTCCTGACCCTCAGGTGATCTGCCTCGCCTCGGCCTCCCAAAGTGCTGGGATTACAGATGTGAACCACTAGGCCCGGCCAAGAGTTAGCTTTTATTTATTGATTTAATAACAGCTTTATTGAGGTATAATTCTCATACCATAAAGTTTACCAATTAAAAGTATGTAATTCAGGCTGGGCATGAGCCACCACGCTTGTAATCCCAGAACTTTGGGAGGCTGAGGTGGGAGGATCGCTTGAGCCCAGGAGTTAGAGACAAGCTTGGGCAACACAGGGAGATCCCATCTCTACCAAAAATTTAAAAATAAATTAGCCATGTATGGTGGCATGTACCTGTCCCAGCTACTTAAGAGGCTGAGGCAAGCGGATCCCTTGAGCCCAGGAGTTTGAGGCTGCAGTGAACTATGATCACACTACTGCACTCTAGCCTGGGCAACAGAGTGAGACCTTGTCTCAAAAAAACAAAAAGCCTGGGCGCAGTGGCTCACACCTATAATCCCAGCACTTTGGGAGGCCGAGGTAGGTGGATCGCCTGAGATCAGGAGTTCGAGACCAGCCTGGTCAGCATGGGGAAACCCCGTCTCTGCTAAAAAAAAAAACAAAAAAAACAAAACTATGCAATCCAGTGTTTTTAGTATTTTCACAGACTTGTGCAACCCTTGCCACAATGCCATTCCAGAATATATTTATCACCCTGGAGAGCAATGCTATATCTTTTAGTGGGCACTCCTCATTCTCTCTTCCTACTTTCTGCTTTCTGTCTCTGTGGTTGCCTATTTGGGACATTTTGTGTAAATGAAATCATACAATAGGTTACCTTTTGTGTCTGGCTTTTTTGTTTTTTCACTTAACATAATACTTCTAAGGTTCATCCATGTTGTAGCATGTATTAGTACTTTATTTCTTTTTATGGCAAAATAATATTCCATTGTATGGATATATCACATTTTGTTTACCGACTTATCAGTTAATGACATTTGAGGTATTTCTCTTTTTTGGCTCTTATGAGTAATGCTGCTGTGAACATTTGTATATAACTTTTTGTTTGAACACTTGTTTTTGGTTCTTTCAGGTATATGCTTAGGAATAGAATTCCTGCGTCATATGGTAACTCGGTGTTTCACTTTTCAAGAAACTAACAAGTTTTCAAAGCAGCTGCACCATTTTACATTTCTACCAGCAATGTGTGAGGGTTCCAATTTTACTACATCCTCACCAACACTTGTTATTATCTGACTTTTTGATTTTCGCCATCGTAGTGGGTATAAAGTGGTGTCTCATTATGGTTTTGATTTCCATTTCTCTGATAGGTAATAATGTTGAGTATCTCTTTATGTGCTTATTGGTCTCTTGCATATCTTCTTTAGAAGAATGTCTATTCAAATCCATTGTCCATTGAAAAAAATGTTTTTGGTCTTTTTTTCTTCCTTCTACAATCTATACACCTCTTATTTCCTTTTATTTATCTTTTTATATTATTGAGTTGTAAGGGTTTCTCTGGTTAGAGGTTCCTTATTAAATACATGATTTGCAAATATTTTCTCACAGTCTGAAGGTTGTATTTTCACTTTCATGATGTTGTCTTTTGAGGCACAAAAAATCTTAATTTTGATGAAGTCCAGTTTTAAAATGTTTTGTTGTTGTTGTTTGTGCTTTAGGTGTCATGTCTAAGATGCCATTATGTAATCCAAGGTTAAGAAGATTTACTACTATGTTTTCTTAAAAGAATTTTATACTTTTGGCTCCTACCCTTAGGTTTCTGATTCATTGTGAGTTAATTTTTGTGTATGGTGTGATGTAGGGGGTCCAGTCTTCTTTTGCAGTTGTCCTAGACCCATTTGTTGAAAAGGCTGTTCTTTCCCTAACGAATTGCCTTGGCACATACATCCTTGTAGGAATCACTTGACAATAAATGTAAGGGTTGATTTCTGGACTCATAATTCTATTTCATTAATCTGTATTGTCCTTATGCCAGTGCCACGCTGTCTTGATTACTGTAACAGCTTGGCATTTTGTAACATCAAATCTGGTGTTTGTCCAAGTGTTTCTGTGATTGTTGGAAAAATTATCTAAGTACAAAATAGCAGAAATGGCTAATAGCTCTTGTTCATGCAATGATAATAAGCCCCCATTGAGGCCATTTACTCTCCTTTTCCTCCCTAGTGATGGAGTAAGCATTACAAAATCTTCTCTCTTCCTCCTTATTACATTAGAGGTGTGTGTGTTTGTGTGTGTGTGTGTGTGTGTGAGTGTGAGAGAGAGAGAGAGTCGGCTTTGACCTTTGCCGTATATGCAACTTTTCTTTGTAATTTCAGTAATAATCACACTTAGAGCCTCAGAGCAGGTCATTGGGTCCTGTTTGTCCTCCCAAGAAATGCTCGACATTGGTCAGAGTGCATTAACGGTGGTTTGGTGTGGAAGTCCTGTAATAGCCCTCATTGACATTGGACTGGCTGTCAGGGGAAGCATCGGTTTTGGACGCTCTCATTAGCATTAATTGCCCCTAATGCACCATCATTTTTGACAGTAATAAGCTAAACAGGGGTGTTATTACTCCCAGCAGAAAGACTGCATTTCCTGGCGTTAAAACATTTTTTGAGATGTATATGGCATGTGGTGCAGGCAAAGAAAGGAATAGCATGATCCAGTGTAAAGCAGGCTTAGCTGCATTTAAAGTGGAGAAATAAGTCCCTTTCCTATTATAAAAACGAATCCTGCATTGTTAGTTGGAAGGAAGAAGCAGCTAATCAACAGGGATCCTACACTGAACTCTTTAAAAGAGGGCTTTGGAAAAAGTTACGATTTTTATTTCTAAATTTGCTTTAAAAGAGTAGCATAAAAATGCTTTGCTTTTGAGTGTTTCCAGAGACCCATTTATAGTGAGATTTTAGGAGCAGAAGGATTTGTTTTAAACTGTTCCCTATTTAGGAACAGCCCTACGGGTGTTTATGTGCAACAATGAAAGCTGTAACTTAGGAAACCTTTTAAAATTGGGGCTGAGAGCAAACCAAGAATGATGCAAGTTCACTGCAGTTTGCCCTTTGCTCACTCCATGTATCTGCATTGTCTGGGGATGCTCAGGATGTCTTTAGAACACACACGAAGCTGGATCCTGATTAGCTGGCCTTGGTGGCCAGTTAGTGCTGAGAGTTTACAGCCAGGATTCTAAGTGAAAACCTAAAAGCTGATAGCTTCCTTATCACTATCATTAGGAGACACTGAAGACTTTACACAATTCTTTTTTTTTTTTTTTTTTGAGGCGGAGCCTTGCCCTATTGCCCAGGCTGGAGTGCAGTGGCATGATCTTGGCTCACTGCAACCTCTGCCTCCTGGGTTCAAGCCATTTTCCTGTCTCAGCCTCCTGAGTAGCTGGGACTACAGGCGTGCATCACCATGTCTGGCTAATTTTTTTGTATTTTTAGTAGAGACAGGGTTTTGCCATGTTGGTCATGCTGGTCTCAAACTCCTGACCTCAAATGGTCCTCCTGCCTCGGCCTCCCAAAGTGTTGGGATTACAGGCGTGAGCCACCACGCCCGGCCTAGTCTGTTCTTTTTAATTGCTCCATAGTAATTAATAATATGCATGTATCTTTCTTTATTTAGCTAGTCTTCTGTTTATGGACATTTCAGTAGGATGATGATTTCAAGATCACATTTACAGATTAAATGAATGAGTTCTTAAGAGAATGAGTTAGAGAAATAGGGAATTACCTAGTTAATCTTGATGAAGATTGCAGAGTAGTTAACTCTGAAGACAGATTATTTTTATAGCATGGAGTATTATTGCTAATCCTCCTACCTCTCCCAAAATTGGAGGGCTGCTAAGCCCATCAAGCCTCCTCCTCAGTCTTCTTGCTATGGAATGTTTCCTACTCCCCATTTGGGGCCACCCATGGGCAGACTTGGGTCACAGTTCCTTCTGTGCTTTCATAACACTTTGTACATCCATTAAAGCAGCAACCTGGTTTATTATAATTATGGTTTGTGTACGGGACAGGAAGGATTTCTTGCCATCTCTGTATATTCCCTGAATGGGGAAA
The DNA here is from genome assembly GCF_000001405.40 of Homo sapiens. Lineage (NCBI taxonomy): Eukaryota > Metazoa > Chordata > Mammalia > Primates > Hominidae > Homo > Homo sapiens. The sequence continues at coordinate 131,500 of NW_025791812.1, forward strand.
GTGCTCTCAGCAGGTGTCAAATCAAAGCTCTGTGGCTACTTCTTTGCCTGAGCCTTCCATTCCAGTTTGTTTTCCAGTGGAAATGATGTCAGTACTTGTCGGGTTGTGTTTTTTGCAAGAAAGCTTGCTCTGGTTCTGAGCCTTGCGTGAGTTGTAACGCTGTTAACTCAGCAGAGAGCCCAAAGAGCCAAAGTGAGGCTCCTAGCTCCCTTCTTGGGGGTGTCTATTCAACCTGATGGGCCATCGTCCCTCCTCCTCCACTGCCATAATTTCACCCAGTTGCCTAGACTCAATGACAGGCAATGATCCTAAATATAGTTCTGCTATGAATTCATAGGTGGCTGTGAATTCAAAAGTAGATGGTAATATCCTTACAGCTTCTGGTAATAAACCTTTACAGTTTTTTTTTTTAAAGCAAAACAACACCCCTATTCAACATGATAATTGAGGCTGTTGTCATAAAATAGTTATTACAGAGGCAGGAAAGAAGGCCGTTAGAAGGAATTACTTGATAGGTATCTTTATTTTTAATTTTTCTTCTTTGCCCTTGATTTGAGGTTGTCACACCTCGATATGGTATTTCAGAAAACTGCCAGAGCTATCCTTCAATTATTTGCCCAGCCCGTTATCTCTATTCCTTGATCCTGACTTAGACTATAAACCAGTGGATTTGGCAAGGATTTCCTTAAGTGTTACATTCAAACCTATCAAATATTTGGAAGGCTTACAGATCTGTTTGCACATAAAAGCGCCTTGGGTTTGCATAATTTGCACATTCAAACTTGGGTTTTAATTCAGAAATTTAACATGTTTTCTGTCTCTTTTGGATATTTACATTGATTTTAATCTAATTTTAAAATTTCTCATTTATTGGCATTAGCCCCTCTTTGTGAAGATGTTTAAGGGACATACAGAATTCAAACACTTTAAGAGTCAACATGGATTGGTTTGTGCTTATAACAAACTCCCAATCTCAGTGGCTTAAAACAATGAGGGTTTATTTTTTCCCCACGCTAGATTCTTTAGGTGGTCAACTGGAGGCTCTGCTTCATGATATCTTTGCTCCAGGACCCTGGCTGAAGGAGCAAGCATCTGGACATTGTGTCCATGTCAGAGGAAAAGAGAGAATCACACATTGATTCTTAAAGCTTTCACTTCTGCCCACATTTCATTGGCCAGAGCAAATCATGTGGCCACACTTGACTCCATGGGGGCAGGGAAGTAGAATTCTACCACATGCTCAGAAGGAGAATGAGAAGTACTTGGGCAACAGTACAGATAACTACCATGACTGTCTAACAAGGAGCTGAAGTGCATGGATTCTGAGTCAGAGTGCCTGAGCTTGACACTGGCCTGATCACTTCCTCACAGTCTGATTTTGAGCAAAGCAGCTTCATCTCTCTCATCTTTTATTTCCTTATCTGAAAAGCAGTACCTTACAGAATTGTGAGGATTAAATGAGATAGTCTTTACAAAGCCAGTGCCTTTCACATGGTAAGCACTCAATAAATCCTAGCTATCATTAGAACCCAATTCTTGCTGATTTGAATGAAAGGTACTGCTTAAGGATTTTTCCCCTTATTTATTTTAAAGGACACATGAAAAGATTTACTTTTTTTCTTTTCCTTTTTCTTCTTCTTTTTTTTTTTTTGATGTTTACCATCCATCCAAAGCCAGAAAAAGACATTTTAGGCCTCGGAATGGGAGAGGTTGGAAATATTACTGGGCTGGGTCAGTGTTATTATCATCCTTGAAGACTCTTGTTCTAGGATTTTTTCATGCCTTTACTCACCTTAAAGAATAGAAAACTTTATATCTGCATGTGAATTCCTGAACACCCACCAATTGACCTGGCAACTGTCTTCTCTATTTTCCTCTAGCTCAGAGTCAAGATCTCCACTGAAGTTGGCATCACAAATGTTGATCTTTCCACCGTGGATAAGGATCAGAGCATTGCACCCAAAACTACCCGGTAGGTGAGATGCCACCTGATCACTCAGGGAGCTGAGGCTCAAGAGCTGAGAGGAGTATGCCTAGGCACTGAGCCCTGCAGGCATCAGTTCTGTGTCAGCAGCCATCCAGCTTACATCCTAAATTAAAGAGTCTGTAGTTCCACTGGTCCTGCACCGGGGATTCTGCGAATTATCTAAGTGGATTTGGAGATTGTATATACCAGTGTTTAGTCCATGCACAAACTATTTATTAACCAGTCCTCAACGAGGTAAAGCGCTTACCTCAGGATGTTAGTCTGAGTCAGTCAGCTATGTCACTAAGCATATTATTTAGTTCAGATGATAATTTTTAAAATAATAAGACCTTCTCAATGAAGGAAGCAAGGTATTAATTTACATTCTGGTGCGATCTCCTTATCATCACAGTCCTGAATTTGCTTTTAGTGACCTAATGGCAAGTCTCTCTGGCCTATGATGGGTCTGAAATTAGTTGGAAGCCTCACACGTGCTTAAAATTGAGATGGCAGATACCCAGCACTAGGGCTGCCATTTCCCCCTCCCAAGTCCATGGAGGCAGTACTAAGAAGTCATAGAACATTTGCTCCCACTGAACTCAGACACAGCCTCAGAATCTTTTTTTGAAACATAATCTTCTAAGTAGACACTAACAATTGAACAGAGTTGGGCCAGAATGCTGTAAGAAGCCTGCTCATCAGCCCTCCCCCAGATCCTTATTGGCTCAGCGGGGATCTAGATTTCTGGGGTATAGTCCAGACCCCAACTTTACTCAACTAGGGTAGCTATAGAGGCCAGAAGACAGTAGGGTGAACCATCAAGGCTCTTTGAAGATGGGATGTTAGCCAGAGGCTGGAAGCCAAGCAGCTACTCCTTTTAAATCACATAGAGTTGGCCTTTGTGTCTCTGGGTTGGCTATTTTTGTAGTGATATTGGAGATAAGAGCACTGTTTAAGAATCCACTGAAGAAATGTCTGTGCGAGCGCTTTGCTGTTTAATTCTCTGCCTAGATGAAGAGTTGGTCTTACTTACGAGTAAATGTAAAATGTGAGTATAAAATAAAGCCAGGTCTGAGCTCTGTAACCATTTGGCTGGTTTATCCCCTGGCCATCTTACCCTAAAATCCCAGGAGATAGCTGTGAAAAGAAGTTTTCCTCATCAAGTCTGCCTTTTGGGAAAATGACTTTTTAAAACCCAGTTTCAGGGCAGAAAACTAAATTGAAACAGTGTCCAGGAAAAAAATATAGCATTAAAAAAAGACAAAGCTGAAAGTACCCTTCTTTCTTTTGTGTCTCCTACCTGCCTTGTCTCGATTTTGCTCACGTGTGCTGCTGGCATCAATCCTGTAATTATTTCTCCTTGCGGTTCTGCCAGCCCGGCTCTCCTGTGTGCCTGCAGAGGCCACACGTGAGCTCCTCTGGTGCCTGACTTTGTTGGAGTTGAGAGCCTTAGGTCCTTGAAGTGAAAGCCCAGAGGTACAAGCATCTGTACACAGCATTTCCCCAGATCCTGCTGGAAGTTTATTCTGCACTTTTCTCAGTCCAGGCTTTATCAGTCCAATTTGCCCCCAGGTTGCAGACAGTTCTCCACATCTGTCTGTCCACAACAGAAGTGTTACTATGGGAGAGGGTGGTTGAGGCAATGAAGTGAAGTATATATTTTCTGCCTGTTCTCAGAGATATACTGATCCTCTCTGAAGACTAACTCTATATGCCTCTTTCAGGGTGACATACCCAGCCAAAGCCAAGGGCACATTCATCGCAGACAGCCACCAGAACTTCGCCTTGTTCTTCCAGCTGGTAGATGTGAACACTGGTGCTGAACTCACTCCTCACCAGGTCAGGAAGACACCTAGACAGTTCTCTTAACCTGAAATGTGAATGGATACTAGAGTTTACAATGTGGTCTATAACATGGACTAGAGAGAATTCCACGTTCCTGCTTTCAGGTTTTGACCGAACCCTGACAGTCCATCAGGTTCTCCCACATGACACTCTCACCCTTCTACTGGTTGTAGTCCTTTACCTGGGATACACCCTTCTTTCTAAAAAGTTAGCTGGTATTGAGGAGAGGTACTTAAGGCAGATTTGCACTTAATTAAGGTCATTCCTTCCTCCCTCCCTCCCTCAGATGGACTCTTGCTCTGTCACCCAGGATGGAGTGCAGTGGTGTGATCTCAGCTCACTGCAACCTCTGCCTCCTAGGTTCAAGCGATTCTCCTACCTCAGCCTCCCAAGTAGCTGGGATACAGGCATGCATTACCATGCCCAGCTAATTTTTGTATTTTTAGCAGAGACAGGGTTTCACCATGTTGGCCAGGCTGTTCTCATCTCCTGACCTCAGGTGATCCGCCTGCCTCAGCCTCCCAAAGTGGTGGGATTATAAGCATGGCACTAGACTCGAGGCTTTTTCTTTCTGATTTAAAAAAGGGAATGTGCTGGCCAGGCATGGTGGCTCACGCCTGTAATCCCAACACTTTGGAGGCAGAGGTAGGAGGATCACTTGAGCCCAGGAGTTGGAGACCAGCTTGGGCAATATGGTGAGACCTCATTTGTGTGTATGTATGTATGTATAAATAAATAAGGGAATATACTGAAATAATTTCAAAAGAAGACCCAAAGCATTTTTTTATTCTAGCCAAAGCAGATTTTGTATTTGTGGGACTCTGAAGAATAGCCCTTTTAACTTGTGCTTACTTTGTATTATGAAAGCAATAGGCTTTATTTTTTTCATAGAGTAATGAAAATTATTATTTAAAAGATTTTCAAACCATATACTCTTTCCCCTGAGAACCTAATATGGCCCCATGTCCACTCAGATACCCCCACTCCCACACTGCCTGTCATCCCCCTTGATGGAGAATAACCTGCCTTTAGTGTTACGTGAAGGAAGATTCAGATAAATACTTTGAATGCTGAAAGACAGGAATGCGGGACCTAGTTTGGTATGGGGTACCCTGTACCGATGCTTTAGCAAGGACCAGCAGACTTGTTGCCTTGAGGCAGCTTCAGGGCAGACCTCAGAGGCAACTGGATTTACTTGAGAACCTTCTTGCTTTCTGTTTCTTGCAGCTGCAGCTGTTGGACTTGTGCCCCAGGAGCACGTTCCTCTATGGCCACAGTCCTGGGAGTCCTCTGCTCCTCTCTCCTCCCTACTCCCAAACTCCAGACAGCTTGGTTAGGGCCCTTAGCCAAGCCTAACTGACCTTTGAGTACTTCAGCCTCTTAGCATTTCCCAGCTTCTTCCCAGAATGACATTTGCCAACCAAATAGCACAAGGGAAGGAAGAGTACAAAGAGAAGAAAGTAAAAGACTAAACTAGTAGGATTAGGATTAGAGCAAGGAGAGTTAGTGAGGAAGTGTAACTTTCACTGAATACTTGTCTCATCCAGAATTCTGCTGTAGAATCATGGCCTAGAGACCTTCCAGGTGGAGGTGGCATTTTGGTGATGAACTTGGCAGCTGCCTGCACTTGATTGTGATAGGAAGGAGATCTGGCATCCGGTCTCCCCATTCCATTCCTGGCCAAGACTAATTGCTGTAGTTGGGATGCTTCATATCTCTGGGCCTCTTTCCCTAAATGCTTTGGTGGTGGTTCTTTGTTGTTCAGGTATAGATTAACACATGAGATGTAGATTTTCTGTAGATACAGTGCTGGCTCTGTCACCCTGCCAACTCATTTAATGCTTGTGCCTTGTGATCTGTAAATTGGATCTGTAAACCTACCTGCCTTGTTGAATTCTTTATTTTGAAACACCTGAAAGAAAAGCTCTGGGTAGTTATCAAGTTTTGGTCCAGTTCTAATGTGCAGACACCTTGGTTTCTTGTGCCATTAGTGGGGATAAAGTGATTAGACTCAGTACCATCGTATTGCTATTAACTACTATTTGTTGACTAGCTAGCATATACCGTTCCCTGCACTAATGCTTAGCATATGGTATTGCAAATCTTCACACAGATATGCCACATCTGGAAGTTAATTTTTCTGCCTTAAAGTTGAAGAAATCAAAGCACAAGGAAGTTAAGTAACTTGCTCAGCTAATAAGTAGTGGAAGCAAATCTGTCTTCCAAGCCGAGGCTCTCTCCATGACACTGGGCTGCTCTGCTTGATTAGAACTCTGCCTTACCATCAATACCCAAGCCTCCTCTACTAAATCTTTAGCTGGAGGCACAAGGAAATTGAAAATGGGCCTCTTACAGTTCCACCTCATTTCCTTTCTTTTCACCCTCTGGTGAAGCAGTTAATTGGGCAGCAAAGTGACCAAAAGGCTGGCGGGAAAAAGAAATTGCAGCAATAGCAAAGGGCTTAAATCATCTGCAAACTGGGCAGTCAGCCTCCAACTAGTCGAGAATTGGCTGGACCCGTAAGTTAAATTTCCTTCCTTGTACCAGCAAAAAGTTATCTCTGAGCTGGGAACTAGGGTGGCATGGCCACTCCTTCTACTCTCTGGGGCAGGTCTGGCAGATCCCAGAGCTCTCACTGTGACAAAGCGCTAATAACCGTCTGCTGCCCGGTGGATTCAATGTTAGGCCCAGGGAGAATCTTGAAATTATCAGATGAAAGATTGTATTATTCTTCCATCTAGACATTTGTCCGACTCCATAACCAGAAGACTGGCCAGGAAGTGGTGTTTGTTGCCGAGCCAGACAACAAGAACGTGTACAAGTTTGAACTGGATACCTCTGAAAGAAAGATTGAATTTGACTCTGCCTCTGGCACCTACACTCTCTACTTAATCATTGGAGATGCCACTTTGAAGAACCCAATCCTCTGGAATGTGGTATGTGCCTGAATGTACCCCGACCCAGGTGAGAGTGGCTGTGCCCCAGGCACTGGTGGCTCTTTTTCAGGGGCATGGGGCTCTTCACCTTCGCCTTGCCTGTGCCTCCTATAAATAAGCTTGGGAGGTGAGGCACTGTGTGCAGTCTCCATAAATAGTCCTGGGGTCATGCACGGGGCTTGGCAACATGGTACGTGCTTAATAAATATTAAGTGAGTGAAGGAAGTATAAACTTTGTGAGTGCTAGTATCTGTGAATTTCTATAAACATTATACAGGAAGGCCGTTTTCATATTATAGCAGGCACTATTGGGGTTACGTAGATGTGAAAGTTAAGGCCCTGGCCTTTGAGATATGGCATAGCTCATGGGAGGGATGAGATCTGAATTCTGATAACAATTCAGGATGATGTAGAAAAGTGAATTGTACAATGTGCAAAATGCTAATTAACTAATAACCAACATTTGTGTAGCATGTTGTTGTTTACATAGTGCCTTCCTGCATGCCTCACTTTGGATTGGCGTGATGAGAGTAAACGTCTTGCAAGACAGGGCATTTGAGCAAGGGGTTGAAGAATGGCAAGGGTTTATCAGATCTGGGGCTGTGGGGTGATCATTGGGGAAGGGCTTGCAGAAGAGCTCAAGGTGCTTTCAGTGCAATGGGAGCGGTTGTGTTTTGCCAGAGCACCTGAATCCTGTCAAAAGCAGGAGGTGATGAGCTTGGAAAGGTAGCAGAGGCCAAATTGCAGGCTTTGAATGGTGGTTGACTCACTTTGCAAGACAAAGGGGCAGCTGCGTTTTCTCGTGTGGTATTCAAGACTTCTTTTCTTCTCCTGGACTTCAGGCTGTTTTTGTACAAGAGCGCATACTCATTTCTTTCTCTCTTTTTCAAATGTGACTAAATCACACTTCCCAGGGACACCAAGCTGTTTCTGATTGCAACTGTAACAGCCTGTGTACCAGCTGGGATTTTTGTATTAAGCAGCTCTATGGGGCTACTATACCAGCAGAAAATTAGAAGTCTTGCTCTAAAAAGCATTTTCAGCAAATACTTGTTTTGTTCTTAAAGTTTTTACTGCCTCAATTTGTCAGCTAATGGATCAGAAGTGATTGGGACTGCCTGGAGCTTTTTTCAGTTATGGTCTTAGATGTGAGTCAGAGAATATTATCTATTGAGTTTCACCCACTTCTCTGCCCCTGTGCTTTTACAGACTGTCCTTATTTTTCTAGGCTGATGTGGTCATCAAGTTCCCTGAGGAAGAAGCTCCCTCGACTGTCTTGTCCCAGAACCTTTTCACTCCAAAACAGGAAATTCAGGTATATCCCAAAGGGCCTATCCACTAAACGTGGGAGAAGAGAGGGCAACAAAGCCCTGGACAGTGGCTCTGCTCCCTTTAACTTGTTTTGTGATGTTTTATAGTTTGATCCTCACACCCTGTGGATTAGGCAGGGTAAATGGCAGCCCCATCCTTGAACTGAGAAAACAGGTTTAAAGAGTCCGGTGACTAACCCCCAGAAAGCAGAGAGTTGAAGATGAAATCAGAACCTGAGTCTGGTTTTCCTGACATCCGGCAGGTTCAACCCTCAGACCACAGCTTATTAGCTATGAGCGCAGATGGTTCTAGCGTTTATCCTCCCTGCTCCTGTGTAAATCAGGGCTGATGGGGCGACAGGTGGGAAAACTCACCTGGGAGAACAGGGCTCTACTTCCTTAGGCAAGTCCTTGGATAAGCAAGCCTGGTCCTGTCCTGCACGCAGGACTGTTGTGAGAATCAAAGTTGATAACAGATGAGTGAAGAAAGGCTTTGAAATGTTTCTAAAGCCCTTTCCAAAATAAACACAATAATTGTTAAACACTTTGGATACTGGTTAAGGAAACTGAGGTGGATCCACTCAGTGGACTATTTTGCAATCTTGAGAAATGATCGTACTTGGAAACTTGCATACGAATTAATGTTGAAGTGTCAAAAACAGACTACCTGCTGTCATTCCACTTTAAAAAACAAGTGCTCAAAGGGTAGAGTAGTAGGATTGTTTTCAAAACTCCTTTTCATATTGATACAGCATTATTTAAGAATGTAAAATGCAGCTAACTGGTAGGTGTAATTGTGATGATGAAGGGTGCTGGCTGAAGTAGGTGGCAGCAGCTGCTATAGTGTTAGAAATCCTTTAATGGCAGCGGCAGCAAAGAAGAGCAGAGGTCAAAATTTAGGAACAGGAGGCTCAAGTGGGGCTGTGTCATCATGGAGCTGGTTTGGCTGGGCATTGACAAGCAGAAAAGGCAGGCACAAGTTGATACGTTGGAGGAAAAATCTTTTTTAAAAAGTTCTATTTGCATAATGAGTTACAGCTTACAAAGCATAATCAAATGCACTATTTCATTTGGTCTTTAGAGTATCTTTACAAGCCTAGCAGGGTGGTCATGGCCCTCCCCACCCCCAATTTTCCAGCTGGAAAGTGAGGTGAAGAGTGGGAAAGTGACTTCCCTTCTGGTCACACAGCCATACGTTTCAGTTTGGGCCTAAACGGAGGTCTCCAGAATCCCACACCATTGCTGCTTCTGCTAGGTCACACTATCTAGGTGAGCTTCGTAAAGAGAATTCATGTAGAATTGCTCAGGAAAAAACAAAAAACAAAAAAAAAACCAAGAAATACCATCAGAATGCTTGTCGAGCCTTCTGGTTTAACTCTGGAAATCAAAGTTGGGCCAGGCATGGTGGCTCACGCGAATCTTGCTTTGCAGGGCCAAGGAGGGAGGATCACTTGAGGTCAGGAGTTGGAGATCTAGTGAGACTCTGTCTCTACAAAGAATTTAAAAATTAAGCTGGGTGTGGTGGCGCGTACCTGTAGTCCCAACTACTCAGGAGGCTAAGGCAGGAGGATCTTTTGAGCCCAGGTGTATGAGGTTACAGCAAGCTATGATGGTGCTACTGCACTTCAACCTGGGTGACACAGTGAGGTCCTGTCTCTTTAAAAAAAAGAAAAAGAAATGAGAGCGGGAAGTTCGTTTAGGGCTTCCTTAGAGCCATGGCTCAGGGAGAGAGGGATGAATTATGGGTGGAAAGATCTGTAGGGAGGCTCTGTTACCTTTTAAAAAGGTATAGTGTTACCACCATTAGCCAATTAAGTGGGGCAGCAGCATTTGCCAGGGCCACCCTAGGAACCCAGAAACATTGCGAGTCCAGCGTCCTGCCTCAGTCCTGTCACTCAAGCCATCCATATACCTGGGCACCCTCTTTGGCACTAGCCAAATGCCACTTGATGGATTGCATTCTCTGGCCTCTGAATGGCAGTGAGTCTTTGAAGGGAATAAAGGGTTGGCCAAGCAGTGAGCTGGGGTTAATGTAGTCTCTGTGGAAGGGAGACCTCTGGGATCAAAAGCCAGCATTGAGAAGAGGCAAAAGGCCCCATGCCCACTTGTTGCCAAGAGGTTTTAGCCTCTGGGCGGCATATCCTCTTCATGACTGACATTGATGCTTTGGTCCCCGGTATACATGGCTGCCCCTACTGGGAAGGGCACATTCTTAAGTCTTCTTGGTGTGTCTTTCGGCAGCACCTGTTCCGCGAGCCTGAGAAGAGGCCCCCCACCGTGGTGTCCAATACATTCACTGCCCTGATCCTCTCGCCGTTGCTTCTGCTCTTCGCTCTGGTGAGTGGCTGTAATTAGCGTGGGCAGCATGCGTCTGGCGCCAGACCCAGCAGATGCATTCCTTCCAAAGGAGGCTGTGTTGTCTGGCCTCAGTAAAGCTCCAGAGGGGTCCAGCAGCTGTGACCTGAATTGATGCTCAAGACATTTTAGAATGACCAAAAGTTCCCACTGTGGAGGAGTGGCCAAATAAACTGCCGCATTAACAAGTGGGCATGAGAAAGTACCTAACAGCCACTAAGAATGACAAAAGTGGATGGACTGTGATGCCGTAGGAGGGTTCAGATGAGATCTAGTGTGAACAGAGCGAGATCCGATGCTGGTAGCTATAAAAAACAGCACAAAGGCTGTGGATTTCAGCACTGCTTGGGGCAGAAAACCAGAAACAACCTAAAGTTCATAAGATGGAATAATATGCAGCTTTTCAAAGAATGGATAGATTTATATGCTGATAGGACAAGATTGCCAAGATGTGTTACTGAGTGAAAAAGGCAAGGGGTAGGGTAGTGTGTTTAGTATGATCCTCTGTAAAGTTTTAAAAGGTGGCTGGGTGTGGTGGCTCATGCCTGTAATCCCAGCACTTTGGGAGGCCGAGGTGGGAGGATTGCTTGAAGCTCAGGTGTTTGAGATCAGCCTGGGCAACATAGCAAGACCCCATCTCTACTAAAATCAGAAAATTAGAAAAAAAAAAATTAATGGTGACGTATGCCTGTAGTCCCGGCTACTTGAGGAGCTGAGGTGGGAAGATCACATGAGCCCAGGAAGTCAAGTCTGCAGTGAGCCATGCATTCTAACCTGGGTGACAGAGTGAGACCCTGTCTAAAAAAAAAATAAAAATAAGTTTTAAAAGGCGATATGTGTTAGTGTTGGTCATCTCTGAGGAGTGGACATTCTGGAGAATGTAGAGGAAGTAACTTTTACCTTTTCTCCTTTTCAGTACCATTTGAATTTTTTTTTTTAGCCAATTGTGTTTTTCTCTTTTTTCAAATTATAAACAAACATGAATGCATATCCTCAAAGCTCAGAGAATTTTGAGAAAACACTCATTAGATCTTACTTTTGGAAAGTTGCCTGTGTTCCTAATTGTTGCTTTTAACAAAAGAATTACTGTTTAAATCTAGATAAATCTAGAAGCCTTGCTACAGGTTTTCAGAAACCAGACCTAGGGTATGGGCACCTGTCCTTACATTTCAGTGATGAGAATTTCAAATGACATGGAACCCACGGCAAGAGCGTGAATGCCACCAGCTGCCGGTGGGTTTATCTTACCAATTCTTAGAGAACTTAGTGGGGGTGTCAGTTACCTTATAAATGCAGTTTCTGACCTTTCAGCTTCATGGTCTCACCTGTTTTAAAATAGTAGGGTTTGTCATCATTAAAAATGATGTTCAGGTTTGAGTTACACGAGCCCATTTGAGAGCAGGTGCTGAATGCCTTTCTAAAGAAAAAGGGAACAAGTTTCCCCGAGGGCTTATAATAGGGTGGTTGTCACTTGGAAGAATTGCCTGTCCTTCTAGGATGCATGAACTTTGAAGCCTTGGGGCTGTTGATGGGATTAGCATTGGCATGGCTTGTGTTGCTTCCCTTTTAAGTTCTAATGCCTTTTTAATTTATTTCTCCCCATCATTCAGTGGATCCGGATTGGTGCCAATGTCTCCAACTTCACTTTTGCTCCTAGCACGATTATATTTCACCTGGGACATGCTGGTAAGTGCCCCAGGCTGCTAATTACCTGTAACGTCCTCTGACATTTAGCCTGCCCACGCAAAAGCCCTGTTAAGTAGACCCACAACCTATTACCTATAATGACTTAATAGCATTACATTTCCCTCTTCCTCCTGGCCTTTTAGGACAGTTAATACGAAGATAAACCTGTTTGGTCCATCACTTAGAACAGCTGTCATTATATTGGGCTTTGTTGTACTGTGCCACTGTTGGCAGACCATTTACCCTCAGTTAATAACCCTGTTTATTTCCAGAGATTACTCACTTATCGTATCTTTACATTGAGCAATCTTCCTGGATGAAGAGCATTAATGCAGTTTCCAAAGGTTATCTTTCCCCACGCTATCGATCTTCACATTTGCTGCCGGCTCTGTCTGTGTAGTAATAGAAAACAGTCCTTTCCACAGTCAGACATGCTATCCTGCATCGTTCTCTGGAGACCTTAGGACTTCAACAGCCTAAACATAACAAGACAGTAAATTCACAAATCACTTAAGCATTTCTGAGGCTTTTGATGCTATTGGATCAGGGGTGCCTTGCATTTCACTGTGACTTTAATTTTTTGTTCGTTGTTTTTTTTTTTTTGAGACAGGGTCTTACTCTGTCACCCAGGCTGGAGTGCAGTGGTGCATTCATGGCTCACTGCAGCCTTGACCTCCCAGACTCAGGTGATCCTCCCACCTCAGCCTCCAGAGCAGCTGGGACTCCAGGCTTGTGTCACCACATTTAGCTAGTATTTGTATTTTTTGTAGAGACGGGGTCTTGCTGTGTTCAGAGCTGGTCTTGAACTCCTAGGCTCAAGCAGTCTTCCCGCCTTTGGCCTCCCAGAGTGCTAGGATTATAGGTGTGAGCCACCACGCCTGGCCTGACCTTAATATTTTTAAAATTCTTTGCCTCTTTCAGGAGTCACTATCTGTGCGCCCATAGTAAACAGATTCTGTAGGGGTGCATAGATAAGTCTCTTGAAATTCTAGGCAAATGTCTGTATTTTTCTGGGGAAAGAGAGAGTTGTGACTTTGATCAGATTATTATGGTGCAGTGGTCCGTGACCTCAGAAGTGGTTAAGAGCCCCGCTGTAGTTCATCCGTCATCTGTCTGGGCAAAACTGACAGGATGACCTTTCTCTCTGGCTCAGTTCCTGGATATGTATGATAGCCCTCTGGGGTCAGACCGAGAAGAAAACCTGAATATAAATCTGTTGAGAGCCGTGGCTTTTCCTGCCATTGTGCTTTTTGTGCACGTTTTCTCATTTGATTATCATCATAGCCCTGATGAGGGTGACTGGGGCAGGAATTATGATCCCTTTTGACAAGGTGGGAGAATCTGGGCTCAGAGAAGTTAAGTGGCTGGTAAGGGCAGGGCCTGGACCAGGCCCCAGGGCTCTCCGTTCCCAGCTCTGAGCCCTTTTCACTCAGCCTTCTTCCTGAGTCCTCCTTGCTCCCTTCCTAGTCACAGTGGCAAATTATCCTTACAGTTTGTTTCCCCCCATAAAAAAAGAAATTATTCATTTATTTATATCCTGTTTATTTTTTATTTTTATTTTTTATTTTTTTGAGATGGAGTCTTGCTCTGTCTCGCCCAGGCTGGAGTGCAACGGTGCGATCTTGGCTCACTGCAGCCTCTGCCTCCCAGGTTCAGGCGATTCTCCCACCTCAGCCTCCCAAGTAGCTGGGATTATAGGCCTGCGCCACCACACCTGGCTAATTTTATATTTTTAGTAGAGAGAGGGTTTCACCATGTTGGCCAGGGTGGTCTCGAATGCCTGACCTCAAGTGATCCTTCTGCCTCGGCCTCCCAAAGTGCTGGGATTACAGGTGTGAGCTCCCGCACCCAGCCTATTTATATCCTGTGTATTTTTGTTAAGAATTTGAAAAATGAATGCCAAGTATAACATGACAGAGGAGTTTTAAACAAAAGCAGAGAAATAGTTGTAAGCAGGAACATGGCACAGGTCGCTGAAGTCCAATTGTTACCCCTGTTTGTGGGTGTGTGTGTGTTTTGAGACGAGGTATCACTGTCACCCAGGCTGAAGTACAGTGGTGTGATCAAGCTCACTGCATCCTTGACCTCCCAGGCTCAAGCGATCTTCCTACCTCAGCCTCCTAAGTAGCTAGGACTACAGACATGGACCATTACGCCTGACTAATTTTTTGAATTTTAATAGACACGAGGTCTCACTGTGTTGCCCAGGGTGGTCTCGAACTCCTGAGCAATCCTCCTGCCTCAGCCTCCCAAAATGTTGGGATTACAGGTGTGAGCCACTGTGCCTGGCCACACACTTGGCCACAGCTGAGAGGCGAATATATTGAGTTAGCTACTTTTTGGCATCAGAGCAAAGGAATAAAACAAGCTGGTATAGGAGTACAGACCTTTTCATGATCCAACAGTTGCTATGTCTAACTTTCCTCAACCGCAGGGCATCATTATGTTTCATTTAATTGGATGTCATGACACCTCTTCTTGCAGCTATGCTGGGACTCATGTATGTCTACTGGACTCAGCTCAACATGTTCCAGACCTTGAAGTACCTGGCCATCCTGGGCAGTGTGACGTTTCTGGCTGGCAATCGGATGCTGGCCCAGCAGGCAGTCAAGAGGTAAGGCCAGACATGAGCCAGGGATCTAGAGTAGGGTTAGAAATACTCAGCTCTGCCGGCCTAGCTCTTTGAAGGGTAGGTGGCAAAATGATTTGTGTTCTTAGGGGCAAGTCTGACACCCTAATCTAGCCCAGTACAGAAGCCAGAAGCACTTTGAAGTCAGAAAAGAGCCTTAGTGGTCAGCTTTGAATGTATTACAACCATTGTAATTGATGCCCCAATACAATAGAATGAGAGAGGAAAATTATTAGCTTTATGAAGATGAAAATGCATTCATAGATGTGGCAGAAGATTAATTTGTTAGCTGTGTAAAAATTCTCTGCTGCTACAGAGAATCCTGCCCTGCCCTCCCCACCCTCAACATGTCCCCGAGAGCTGCTCCTCTGTAACCCTCACAGCTCCAGGAGCTTGTCCCGGAAGCACGAGGTCTGTGTTATTTCCCACAGAAGCTGCAGCAGGTTTTGCAGAGGCTCCCAGCAAGGAGTATCTCCTCAGTAGCCTACACCATCTCCCCGGGACCCAGACAACCTTAGAGTCACATGGATGGTCAGACAGACCTTGACATGAGGGCAGCTTGCTGGCAGCTTGACTTTCTAAACAGAATTGGAGGCAAATTTAAATGTCACAAAGGTGTTTCTCATTGATTTGACTTTATTAGAACCTGAGTGATTTCAGACACGCAAAGGCCAGTAAGAACAGAATTGCTTTCACCTCTGGAAATCGTTTTCAGATGTGCCGCTTTCTTCTATCCAGGACGTTTGCTGGAAGAATGTAACTCAATAGTGTACCCTCAACGTGGCTGCCAGTTAGGGTGCTGGGATCAGAGAGAGGCTTTTTCAGGGAGACCATCAGTGGGTGGGAGAAGATGTCTCATCTCCGCCCGAGTCTCCATTGTGAGCTTTCTGAGCATTTCACCATGGAGACTCGGCACAGACGTGTTCCTTGGCTTTCCTGTAGGAATCCAGGGCCCACCAGAGCTTCCCTTAGCACCAGCAGTGGCAGCTGGTTCATTTTGCCACCCTCCAGTAGCCTTTTCCTGGTGGTTCTGCATTGTACCTGAGAAAGAGCCAGGACTCAGTTGCTTTTGCAAAGCAGAACCCTGTTCCCTTGCAGCACCTGCCTGGGCCCCCAGGGAGCCAAAAGACTGCTCTGCTAAGTTCTCTCTTTTCTGGAAGTTGCTCACTCGAGAAGAATGAAATCTGCCCGCCATGGTGGCTTATGCCTATAATCCCAGCACTTTGGGAGGCTAAGGCGGGAGGATCGCTTGAGCTCAGGAGTTGGAGACCAGCCTGGGCAACATAGTGAGACCTCGTCTCTCAAAAAATTAATAAAAATTAAGAAAAAAATCAAGACAAGAATTGAGTAGAAACCATTTGGTTTATGTTCTGCTTAGCAGGAGTTCCTAATCTGGAATCCTAAAGTTGTATGCATTTTATGGGGAGAGAGACTATGGTTTTTATCAGAATCCCAGAAGGATCAGTAACTCCTCCCTCTCCCCTGCTCATGTATTCGATTCAAAAACTTAAAGCCCACTCTTCTGTGGCCCTCTTTGTGAGTCCTAGAATGAACTCTACCCTGGAAAAATCAGTGACCCTAATGGAAGCTCTGGTTGGGTGTTTGTCATTTCTTTCCTCAGCTGATTTCTCCCCTCACTGTCCTTTCTTGATTCTCAAACCCTCTTTCCTTTGGCAGGATCGCTGCAGAGCAGAGCAGTAGATTGGCAAAATATAGGACACTACGGTAAAGATGAAGGGCGGACTCATCCCAGAAGCAGGGTCCCTTCCCCGTCTTGCCCGCCTCATGCATGTCAGTTATCTCTCTAGTTTTCAGCCCACTTGCTCCTCCCACCCCTCCCTAAGCCACAGCTGAATTCTGAGGCTGCTTTTCAACTTGCTAGATGAGGTTGTGACTGGACCAGGGCAAAAGCTTCCTGAGTTAGCCCAGCTGATGGGATAACTTTGCAGTGAGCAGCTTTGGCCTGGCTTTGACTGTATAAGACTTCATTCTCCCTTATATCCCGTGGGGTACTTACTTATTTATAGACAAGCCTCTCTCTCTGTTTCCAGGACAGCTGAGATGAGGATAAGACAAATCCAAAATTCATTAAATGACGGTCCCATGGCAAATCCTGGCACACCTTGTCACTGTTTCTAGACTTTTCTGTAACACCGATCTCTAGTTGGGCTAAACATTGTGGTCTGGGGAGACTGTAATTTATGAAGGACTGATGGCCACAGATCAAAGCCAGCATCAGAATCCAGGTTCCTAGCACTCAGGGTATGTTAAAAGGGCTGCTCCCCATGTGACTAAAATGTGAAGTGAGATTCCACTCATTCTCCTTCTGCATATCAGTCCTAGGATGGGAGGGAAGTGGAGGGAAGGAGAAGGAGAGTCTGATGCTTCACTGATCTGCTCCGCTAGACCAGGGTCTGGCAAAAGTTTTCTGTAAAGAGCCAGACAGTATTTTAGGCTTAACTGGCCATATGGTCTCTTGGCACCAACTACTCAACTCTGTCACTGTCATGTGAAAGCAGCCATAGACTGTATAAACAAATGGGTGTGGCTGTGTTCCAACAAAACTTTATTCACCAAGACAGGTGGTGGGCTGGATTTGGCCTGAGTGGCACAGTTTGCTGACCCCTGCCCTAGACCAACAAAGGGAGGGGAGGTATTTGAATTTTCAAGTCATGTTCTCCTTTATCCTTTGCCTTGGAAATGGCTTTCCCTGCCAAAGCCACAAAACCATCTAATTTCTAATCCTCTGAAAATAGGAGAGATCAACAAAAGCATAGTATTTGGAGCCTTTCCATGGATGTGTGAGCATAAGCTGGGTCACCTAGTCCTCAACACAGAAGGGAACTGCATTTGTTTGTTTGTTTGTTTGTTTGTTTGTTTGTTTCCAGGTTTAATGGAGTTGTAATTTATCTGCAGAAAAATGTACCCTTTTTAGTGTACAATTCTGTGAATCCTGAAAAACCTCTGTAGTCATGTAGCCACCACCTCAGTCAAGATATAGGTATTGCCACTCTCCAGAGAGCTCCCCGGTGCCCCTTTTAGAGTCCGACCCTTCTCCCACCCCCACTCCCTGGCTATGCCCGTTTGGTTTCATCCTACATTATAGTCACTCTGTCTGAGATTTGCTTTCAGCAACTGTCCTTGCTGCTACATGTTGAGTTCTTTAATTCTTTAAATAAGTCGATTTCTTTTCTTGATTAAAAAGAACTTTTTTTATAGAGATGGGGTCTCATTATGTTGCCCAAGCTGGTCTCAAGCTCCTGGGCTCAAGCAATCCTCCTGCTTTGGCCCCTAAAAGTGCTGGGATTATAGACGTGAGCCACCTTACTCAGTCTCTTGAGTTTTAAAGTCCGTTCCCACCCTGCTATCCCCAAATCATTGCTTGAGGAAGAGGAAAGTCACTTGATCATTTGGACATTTGGCATTTCCTAGCATTTGAAAGGAAACCCCCTGGTAGCAAAGTGTTCTTGATCTGAGGGCAGACATTGATTTGAGCAGACATAATGTGGGACGTAAGTTCTAGCCGCAGTCAAGAGTTGTGGGCCACTACCCTTCGGCTGTTCTTATTTCATACTCATGCCATCCTTTCTGCATGAACATTTCTGAATGCCCACATATTAGTGTACCTAAGAACCTCTGAATACTGGCAAGGAATTAGGGGTGCACACCCCAGCCCTCAAGATTAATTCCATGCCTGTGCATGTCTTTTGGAACTGCTTTATTAATGGGTTTGGAGTCTGCCATTCTGCAAGACTGGATCATTATCACCTTAGTCCTCACCCCTGGGAAGAGCTGCCACTGAAGGATGGTGTGTGTGTGTCAGCAACCCTGCCTCTGCTTGCTGGAGCCTGCTGGGATCAGTTACTCACTGCAGTCACCTCCTCAGCTTCACAGTCTGTCTAGATTGTCATTTTCATTCATTGTGCTTCCCCATCCCTCCTTAGAGTCTAGGGAAAGGCAGCGGAGGGGAAACAAAGAGTACAGGAGATAGGTTCTTATCCCCTTTAACACTTTCTGTGAGCTGAGTCCCATTTTTGAGAATCTTTCTGTGTTAGGTTAGATGCTGAGTGTGACTTGGCAAGAACACGGCCACACGGCAGGAATGTGCAGGTTTCTGTAATGAATGGTCAGGATGTCATGTTCTAAGCTACAGAAGGGCCAAGTGTTGGTTGGCAGAGCTGGAGTCTGGGAGATTGATGATGAGCATTATTTAAACTTTGCTCTTTGTTCATCTAATTGAAATTTACACTGTGTTTTTGGCCTTGCACTGTGAGAGGTGTGCCTGGAATTACCTCATCTCCTTATGTTGTCACATACCACTTTCTTAGTTATTATTGAGTTTGTTTTGTTATTTGTATTTAAGTTGTCATCAGCTTAATTATGAACTAGCTGTCTCACATTCTTTTGTAAAATGAGATGGGGCATACATAAATAGACTTGGGAGATAAATGATTATTCCCTTATAAATGGGATCTTAGAGCGGGAGAGTACCTTAGTCTCTCTGTTGTCACCAGTTAGGAACTGTAACTGTGAACTGAAACCTTCAGTAATTCTGTGTTTGTCTCCATTTTCTTTCAGAACAGCACATTAGTTCCAGAAGAAAGATGGAAATTCTGAAAACTGAATGTCAAGAAAAGGAGTCAAGAACAATTCACAGTATGAGAAGAAAAATGGAAAAAAAAAACTTTATTTAAAAAAGAAAAAAGTCCAGATTGTAGTTATACTTTTGCTTGTTTTTCAGTTTCCCCAACACACAGCAGATACCTGGTGAGCTCAGATAGTCTCTTTCTCTGACACTGTGTAAGAAGCTGTGAATATTCCTAACTTACCCAGATGTTGCTTTTGAAAAGTTGAAATGTGTAATTGTTTTGGAATAAAGAGGGTAACAATAGGAACAAAGGCCTGATTGAGAGCTTATTCTCATACTTTTGGGTGGTGGGGTCCTTGGGTATATGACATGAGGACTTAGTTGGAAATGCTGTTGATGCCAGCATATTTCTCCAGGCCTTTCTTGGTCCTTCTTGCCCCTTGCTCCTAACAGAACTGAGAACTGCCTGGAAAGGCCAGCTTCCTTTTTTCTTCTCCAGCAGTGAGCACCAGCTGTCTGCATAGGAGCCCTGTTGGTATCTGAAGGCCCCATTTGGACCTCTAGGGGTCCAAGGGGATAGGTTTTTATCCCCTTTAACATTTTCTGTGAGCTGAGTCCCATTTTTGAGAATCTTTCTGTGTTAGGTTAGATACTGAGTGTGACTTGGCAAGAACACAGCTAAACAACAGGAATGTGCAGGTGGACTGCAGCTAGGACCTCTGCTCAAGGCTCTTGTCTTGGGGCCAGGCATGGAGGCTCACGTCCGTAATCCCAGCACTTTGGAAGGCCGAGGCAGGGGGATCACTTGAAGTCAGGAGTTTTGAGACCAGCCTGGCCAACATGGTGAAACCCTGTCTCTACTAAAAAACCAAAATTAGCCAAGGGGTGGGCATGGTGGTGCATGCCTGTAATCCCAGCTACTTGGGAGGCTGAGGCAGGAGAACAGCTTGAACTTGGGAGGCGGAGGTTGCGGTGAGCCATTGCACTCCAGCCTGGGCCACAGAGCCAGACTCCATCTCCAAAAAAAAAAAAAAAAAAAAAGACTTGCATGGAGATTTGTTGCAACATGAATTTTCAAGGGACACAAATTCAAACCATAGCACTGACCACTTGAGTGACTTTAGTCTAGAAGGCCACATCTCAAGAATGCCCCCTCTGAAGTTGTGCCCATTACATGAGGTTATATAATAGCACAGAGAGAAGTAATACTGCATAGCATGGTTGACTGCGTAGACTTTGGTTCCAGGCAAACCTAGTGTTGCCACTTACTAGGGTGAGGGACCTTGGGCAAGTAGTTTAACCTCCGTAAACCTCCTTTTGTGTTTCTGTAAAAGAGAGATGATAACTACCTACCTCATAGGATTAAAGGAGTTGAATGCTGACGCAGCTTAGCACTTGGCATCTTTCCTGATTGACCTACGGTTATGTGCCTTGGCCCATTGCCTCTAGTTCTAGAATGGCAAAAACTGCAATTACTTTTGCACCAACCTAATATTAATTGAAACATAATAAGTTTAGTTAACTTGTGAAATATGGTAATCCTCATAGTATTTATTGAATTGGGGGTCTGGAAGTTGTTTTATTTTAATCAGATTGCTTCCCAACTAGCTGGACCTTACTACAGTGAAGAAATTGGGATTTTGATTGGGAAAAAGGGAAAGAAGATTCTAGAACTCTATGCCGTTCTGAATGGGATCCTATAGGTAAGAGGATGATGTGGGCAGTTACAGGGATGCCTCTAAGATGGGAAGGAGGCTTCTCCTTCCCAGAGGTTGCAAACTTGTGATCTGTAGTGTTTTTTTAAAAATTGAGTAAGTTGCCAACATTTGAAGACAGATTTTATATAAAAATCTTGGTTTTGGATTCTGGATTCTCCTGAAAGAGAAAACTAGAGCTGTCCACGGCGGGCCTGATTCCTGAACGGCAGCAGTCAGCTGACACTGAATAGCAGCTCGTCCCTTTGGATGGAGCCTGCAAGCTCCAGCTTGTCAGCCCCTCCCCGCACAGGTGTCCACATACAGGACACTTGCGCCAGTCCACCTGGCGACTGTGCTTCTCTGATACCTGCCTGGCTCCCATAGGCATATACCTTTGGGATCCTCCACTTTTTAGTTTCTTATCCCACTCGGAGGGGAAGGGGTGATGGTGGTTTCCTGTTGCTCTTGGGCGGCTCCTAGTGTTCCTACTTAGGTGTGCTGGGACCTCAGCCGCTCAGACTGGAGAGGAAAGAGAGCCCCAGCAGCGTGTGGGATGAGAGCAGGGACACTTGCCACCTATCACCAGACCTGTGCGGGCCTGGAAGACAGACTGGGTGCGGGGCTGGTGGACAGTGGTGTGGAGCAGGGGTAGTAGGGCCTGAGGGTGGAAGTACAAAGGCTGCTGGGTGTCCTGGTCACTGGGAACAAAGGACAGCCAGTGGCTGGAAGGAAGGAAGTCGGGAAACAGCTTTTTGGAGAAACGGCTGGCACAGCTAAGTAAGGGGTTCCCGGGCTGGTTTGGGGCTGGCCTGCAGACTCAGATGGGAGCTGGAGAACAGAGCCCAGTAAACATTGCCATGTGCCAGGCTGTGTTCTGTGTCCAGAGCTACCACAGGGAGCAAGACAGATCCAGTCCCTTCCCTTGGTCCAGGTACAGCCCACGGGCACCCAGCTGAGGGAGAAAGGAAGCAGTGATCACACATGTGAGAAGGGCCTCAGAGGAAGCAGTTCTTACCTTGATGGCTTGGGAGGTCTCAGCTGAGACCTGAAGAATGAGAAGGCGCCTATGCCAAGCTGAGGAAGAGCACTCCGGCCAGAGAATCAGCCAGCATGGAGGCTCTGGGGCAAGAGCACGGCACATTCTGACTGGAAGCAGGCCAAGCAGCCAGGGTGTCACTGGCAGGAACGGCATCCTCGCTGGGATAGAAGCCAGAACAAACTTGGCTTTTAGGGGCTGTGGTAAAGGGGACTGATTTTTCTCTTAGGACCTTTTTTAAAACAAAACAAACAAAGAGATGGGGTCTTGCTATGTTGCCCAGGCTGACCTTGAACTCAAGGGATCCTCTTGCCTCAGCCTCCTGAGTAGCTGGGACTACAAGCATGCACCATCACGCCTGGCCAGCCTGAGTTTTATTTTGGGGTATAGCAGAGGCAGATGCTGTCTGTCTGACCCTGCCCACTGGGCAAAGCCTTTTTTTTTATTTTTTATTTTTTATTTTATTTGAGACAGGGTCTTGCTCTGTTGCTCAGGCCAGAATGCAGTGGTGCAATCACGACTCACTGCAGCCTCAACCTCCCAGGCTCAGGTGATCCCCCCACCTCAGCCTCTGGAGTAGCTGGGACTACAGGCGCGTGCCACCACACTGGGCTAATTTTTGTATTTTTGGTAGAGATGGGATTTTGCAATGTTGCCCAGGCTGGTCTCATACTCCTGAGCACAAGCAATCTCCCCGACCTCCCAAGGTTCTAGGATTACAGGCAGGAGCCACTGCACCTGGCCTCAAAGCCTCTTAAAGGGACTCGGCTCTCAGTGCTGGAGCAGTGCTGCAGGGGAATAACCTGGTTGCTATAGCCAAGACAGTCTGGGAGTCCAGAGCTGACAGCAGGCCTCTCTCTTATAATTCATGAAATCCACTGGATTCATCACTCAAATGATTCGCTGCAGTAGCGCCTGGGCCTGGCCTTCTCTGAGGAGTACAAGACATGCCAGCTTTAGAGTCAGAGCTGCTTCGAGTTCCCCCATTAGCTGTGTGTCCTTTTGTACCTTTACCTCTCTGGGCCTTGGTTTCCCATCAGTAAAAATGGGGATCATACCTCTGAGGGTTTTATAGGGATTAGAGGAGGCCACAGCCACAACACATACCACAGTGCCTGACACTTAGCATTGAGTCAGTGTTTGCTCCCAATAGCGCAGATATTGTCATCATTATTATTTCCCAGGTGGTGTTAACAGGAGCCCAGTCAACAGTTTGTACCAGGTCTACATTCACCTGTTAGTTCAAGTTACTCGACACCCCAGCTCCCTCATTTCCTCCCCAGCATTTCCTGAGGGGCCTGGAGTCTTAAAGCAACCTTTTCGAGAGAGTGTTGCCTTCCCTCCCCGCCCCATCAGTCCCGTCCTGCCAACCTGGAGCGACTCTAGTTGAATCTGACCTCTAGTTGGATCCAGCTGGGCCAATGTGCCCTGCCCTGCCTTCCTCAGGGGCCTGTTGTAGAGAACAAATGAAGTAATGGATGGGAAGCCTCTTTGTGAACTCTAAGTTAATACAAACAGAAGAGATTATCATTAAAAGCGACAAGTCCCCCGTTGATTAGAGCATTTCTTTAGGGAGAAAAATAGCACTCCGTCTTAAGTAGGACCCTCCCCGGAGTGGGAAGCTCCCAGCTCCTCTGCGGGGCAAGTGGAGTCTCTCCGACGCCATTCGTGCCGTGGTTAATGGTATGGAGCACTGGAGTTGTTGCTATGGTGGTTTTTCCCCTATAATTGCATTCACCTCCAAAACCACAAGTAGCAGCAGGTCCCAGCAGTCGTTATTTTATTTGAAAAACTAATTGGAAGTTGAAAGAGCCCTCGGCTTTTGCTTTTGTCAGGATAGGCCAAGGAAAGAGATGAGCAGGTGGGTCTGGGAGGAAGGAGGGGGTCTTGGGGCAGGCCGGGCGCGCCTCCCATTCACAGCCCCTTCCTTTGTGCCTGCCTCTCTTGGTTGAAGTGGGCCACCTGCCCTCTAAGGCCAGCCTTTTCCTCCGAGGGGGCTTTTGTCTCCCATTGTTCTGATTGTCTCCTCCGTGGAGCCGCCTCAGTGGCCCCCTGCAGACGGTTTCCCAGGCTTCACGTTTTTTTTCTCAGGCGCCCAGGGAGAGCAGGTGGTCTTTACCCTGGAAGGAACTGAGTTGGTTATATAGTTCTGGTGCTGGGAGACCAGAGACCTGGCTGCCAGGCCCTTCGAGCTTGGGTCATTCCTTCCCTGACGACACTGTCTTAGGCTACAAAATGGAGAGGTGGGATTGTTCACTCCATCAATGTTAAGATGCTGTGATTCTTTTCGCACTTTTTTTTTTTTTTTTTTGAGACAGAGTCTTGCTCGGTCACCCAGGCTGGAGTACAGTGGCGTCATCTTGGCTCACTGCAACCTCCACCTCCTGGGTTCACGTTGATTCTCTTGCCTCAGCCTCCCTAGTAGCTGGGATTACAGGCCCATGCCACCACACCCAGCCAATGTTTGTATTTTTAGTAGAGGTGGGGTTTCACCATGTTACCCAGGCTTCTCTCAAACTCCTGACCTCAAATGATCCGCCCGCCTCGGCCTCCCAAAGTGCTGGGATTACAGACTTGAGCCACTGCACCTGGCCCCTCTTTTTGCACTTTTTAAATCAAAACAGACATCCCATCATCTAGACTTTTCACAGTTGTCAGGTTTTTTTTAGGTTTAATTTACGTACAGCAAAATGCACAGATCCTAAGTGAACAACCCAATGATTTTTTATATGTGACAACACTGGTATAACCACCACCCAAATTGAAATATAGAACATTTCAGTCACCCCAGTAAGTTCACAGATTCTGATCAGAGGCACGCAGAGGGCAGGTGATGTGTGGCGATATTTGGCCCAGATAAAATGGCTCATGAATAGCAAGAGTTGGGTAATCACTGATGCGGGAGCCTCGGGTCAGTGGCTCCAGTTCTCTGCTTCCCTTTATAGCAAAATTTCTCAAAAAAATAATCTCTACCAGCGCTGTCCAATAGAAATACAAAGCAAGCTACATAGGTGATTTTACATTTTCTGGAAACCAAGATAAAAAAGTTAAAAAGAAACAAGTGAAATTAATTTTAATATATTTTATTTAACCCATATATCTAAAATATCATTTTAATATGTGATCAGTATAAAAATACTGAGGTATTTTGTATTTTTTCATATTAAATCTGAGTGATTCCTACTTGGACCTTTAATCTGTGGGGTGTTTTGTTTTATTTATTCTTTTTTTGGAGACAGAGTCTCACTCTGTTGCCCAGGCTGGAGTGCAGTGGTACAATAATAGTTCACTGCAGCCTCAAACTCCTGGGCTCAACAATTCTCCCACCTCAGCCTCCCAGGTAGCTGGGACTGCAGGTGTGTGTCACCACGCCTGGCTAATTTTTTTTGAATTTTTATTTGTAGAGGCAGAGTCGAGCTATGTTGCCCAGGCTAGTCTTGAGCTCCTATCCTCAAGTGATCCTCCCTCCTTGGCTTCCCAAGAATGCTGGGATTGCAGGCATGAGCCACCATGCCCCAGCCTAAATCCAGTGTTTATTTTATACTTAAAGTACATCTCAGTTTGTACCAGCTACATTTCAAGTGTTCGTTAGCCACATATGTCTAGGGGCCACCCTATTGCACAGCCAAATCTATACTCACCAGCTCTGATTCCTCTTCTCCCATTTCTCCCACTCAAATCAGACTTTGGCCTTCACTACACCTGATTTCTCTTTGCCAAGGTCATCAGTGGCTTCCATGGTCACTTCCATGGTCAGTTCTAAACTGACTTGTCCCATCAGCAGCATTTAGCAGAGCAGATCACCCCTTTCTTCTAGAAACACTCTTCATTGGCTTCTGGGATTCTTCTTTGAAGGAGTTTTCCTGTTACTTCACTGCCTGCTACTTCTCAGCCTCCTTTGCTGGTTCCTCATCTTTCCTCAAAACTTTTTTTTTTTTTTTTTTTTCAGACAGTCTTGCTCTGTCGCCCAGGCTGGAGTGCAGTGGTGTGATTTTGGCTCACTGCAAGCTCCGCCTCCCAGGTTCAAGTGATTCTCCTGCCTCAGCCTCCTGAGTAGCTGGGATTACAAGCGTGCACCACCATGCCTGGCTAATTTTTGTATTTTTAGTCTAGAGACAGGATTTCGTCATGTTGGCCAGGCTGGTCTTGAACTCCTGGCCTCAAGTGATCCACCTGCCTTGGCCTCCCAAAGTGCTGGGATTACAGGCGTGAGCCACTGCACCCGGCCTTCTTCTAAACTTTAAATGTAGGGTTTCCAGGGGATCAGTCCCTGGACTTTACTCTTCCTATATTCTTCCTTAGTAATCTAACTAGTCTTTTGACTTTAAAGACCGACCGTCTAAATGGTGACAACTACCAGCCAAACCAGCTGTCCAGACCTCTCCCCTGAACTCAGGGGACTCTCTCCTGAACTAGGACCTGTACAGCCATGTGCCTACTCAACTTCCTCACTTGGACCTTTCATAGGCACCTCACACTCAACATTCAAACCTAAACTCTTAATATTCCCCCAACCCCCAAAGCTGCTAAGTGGCAACTCCATCCTCCCATCCTCCATCCTTGGGCCAAAAACTCAGGAGTCATTCTTGACTTCTCTCCAATCCCTACACCCTGTCTATCAGCAAATGGCTTCCGCCCTAAGAATGTATCTAGAGTTTGACCATTTCTCAGAGTGATTTTCAGCATAGGTCACAGCATGTCATTCTTCTGCTTAAACTCCACCATGGCTTTCATCTCACCAAGTTTGGGATCCAAATCCTTACTGTGACCTTGTTAAAGAACATTTATGGGAGGCCGCTGTTTTGAACTGAGCTCTTGCACTAGGCGGGCCCCAACAAACCAGACCCAACCAGAATAGAGTCACCCATGACATACTAAGTGCCATGTCATCAAACAGAACTTTAAAATGGTCCAGTTTTCTGAAATATGAGATTCACAGCAGCCAATCAGAAGGGGTCCAGTTGGGACAGGCACAGTGGCTCACGCCTGTAATCCCAGCACTTTGGGAGGCTGAGGCGGGTGGATCACCTGAGGTCAGGAGTACGAGACCAGGCTGGCCAACATGGTGAAACCCTGTCTCGACTAAAAATACAAAAATTAGCCAGGCGTGGTGGCAGATGTCTGTAATCCCAGCTACTCGGGAGGCTGAGGCAGGAGAATTACTTGAACCCAGGAGGCAGAGGTTGCAGTGAGCTGAGATCATGCCACCACACTCCAGCCTGGGTGACAAAGCAAGACTCTGTCTCAAAAAAAAAAAAAAAAAAAAAAAAAGGAAGGGGTCCAGTCTACTTTAGCTTGCATAATCAGGAAGTCCCCTCTGCTTTAACCCCAGAAGGAAGGTAACTTTGAAATGACCAATCTGCTTTTCGTGCCCTGTTTCTGCTTCTTTAGCCCCTTTTTGCCTGTAAGGCCCACTCCCACTCAGCTTATCAGAGTCCCCCTCAGGATGCTGCCCAGTTCATGAACTGCTAACAAAAGCCAATTCAATCTTTAAAACTCTATTTGGGTTGGGGGTGGTGGCTCACACCTGTAATCCCAGCACTTTGGGAGTCTGAGGCAGGTGGATCACCTGAGGTCAGGAGTTCAAGACCAGCCTGGCCAACCTGGCGTAAACCTGTCTCTACTTAAAAAAATACAAAAATTAGCTGGGTGTGGTGGCACACGCCTGTAATCCCAGCTACTCGGGAGGCTGAGGCAGGAGAATCATTTGAACCCTGGCGGTGGAGGTTGCAGTGAGCCGAGATCGTGCCAGTGCACTCCAGCCTGGGAAACAGAGTGAGACTCCATCTCAAAAAACAAACAAACAAACAAACAAAAAAAACACTAAAGAGTCAATTTGTTCCTTTTTTTTTTTTTAACACCTCCAAGTGTCCCCATGAGCCGGCCTCCTGCTCCTCCAGGACTCTTTTCTTTCCACTGACATCCTTGCTCTGGCCCAGGTAGCCACATTGATCCCCTTGCTAGTCCTTCCACACTGCTGCCTCTAAGCCTTTGTTGAGTTTTCACTCTGCCTGAAATGTTCTTTACTCTGATATTTACAAAGCCAACTCCCTCTCTTCCTCAGGTCTTTACTCAAATGTCACATCATCAGTGAGGCCTTCACATATACACAGTGTAGATCAAATTATACCCCCAGCACTCCCTGGCCCTTTAAAGCTTTATCCTTTGCACTTGCCAACATCTGACATATTCTATATTGACTTGTGTTTATTATTCTCTCCCCCACCACACACGCATTGGAATATAAGCTCTATAAGGTCAGGGACTTTGTTCATGACTATCTCTCCAGTGCCCAGAACAGTACCTGGCACAGAGTGGGTATTCTATAAATGTTTGCTGAATGAAGGCCGGGTGCAGTGGCTCACGCCTGTAATCCTAACACTTTGGGAGGCTGAGGCAGGCAGATCACCTGAGGTCAGGAGTTTGAGACCAGCCTGACCAACATGGAGAAACCCCATCTCTACTAAAAATACAAAATTAGCTGGGCGTGGTGGCACATGCCTGTAATCCCAGCTACTCAGGAGGCGAGGGCAGGAGAAACACTGGAACCTGGGAGGCGGAGGTTGTGGTGAGCCAAGATCATGCCATTGCACTTCAGGCTGGGCAACAAGAGTGAAACTCTGTCTCAAAAAAAAAAAAAAAAGTTTGTTGAATCAATAAGTGGTATTGCTTATAGAAGAGCAAATCACACGTGGGTGAAGGATGACTTTGATCGAAGTTAGTTGAATGTGGTTAAGAGCTGGTTCTGAGTTGGACTTGCCTGGATTTGAATCCCAGCGCTCTCATTTGCACGGTGTGACTGTGGGCAATTTGGTTACACTTTCTGAGCCTCAATTCCTTGTCTGTGAAAGGAGGAGGATACCAGTACCCTCCATCAGCCTGTGTAAGGAGCATATGAGATCCTATGCATGAAGCTGCCTGGTTTGCACTCTGCGTGCTTGGTAAATGTTAGCTTTAAAAAAAATTACACCTCGTAATACCACTTTGGGAAATGTAACTATGTAAAACACATAAAAAATTAGGCTGAAGAGAAAAGAACATTTAAATGCACACCGGTATGGGGGAATTTTATTGTATTTTCAAAGGAAAAAGTGGGTCAGAAATGAGAGGATTAACTGGATCCAGTTGCATTTTGGCTACAGGTAGCCCGGGTCACAGGAGGAATCTTCATCCCTGGGAGTTCCTGCTGCAGAAAGAAAGATCAAGCTCAATCCGGGGAATTGAAGTAAGGGTGGCTAGAGTGGGATGCATGGAACCAGGGTGACGGGTGCTCCCGTGACAGGAGCTGGCCTTTTGGATTCCAAAAGAGGCAGTGTGGGGTGGAGGGAAGGATGCGCAAGCATGCCAGCAAGGCGAGTCCCAGGCTTAGCCCCTGCTCTCTGCTCTGCCAGCCAACTCCCACCGAGACCCTGGGCCAGTCACTTCGCCTTGAAGAAGCTTCCTCTAATCCCCAGACAGGCTCAGCGTTCTCCCAGCCTCACCATCACCACTCCCCAGCATCTCTTCCCATTCATCACAATGAAGTAATTGACTGTACAAGAACGTGTCTAGTTCCTTGCTGCTTCGGTGTGTTATGAATTCCATGAGAGCAGGGGTCGCTGCTGTCCTGTACCCTGCTATGCCTCTGGTCCAGAGTGTGGCATGTCATAGTCACTGGATGGTCTTTACAGGGGTGGGAAGATGGCTAAACCCGAGCCTCAGTTTCCTTACAGGGCTGTTACGTGGACACAATGTATGATGGCTGCAAAAGTGTGCCATCTGTCACATGGCTCTACTCTGCACTCTAAAGCAGGAACTTATTCCTGCTCACCAGTGATATCCTGGTATTTGCAGCAGTTGAGCTGGAGGGGGAACAATGGCTATAGCAGCCTTCGGGGCCCTTCCTGCCAGCTCTGCGGGCTCTGTGATTTCAATCTCCGTGAAGCCTCTGGCTTTTAACTCGCGGGAACAAAGCCTGCATTCTTAGGATTAGCCCTCCATGGAGCCATCCACCCTACTGGGGCCTGATGAGAGCCATAGCAGGTGAACAATTACTTAATCCCAGCCTGCAAGGCACAGAGGAGGCCTTCTTCTTAGAGACATTATTTTTGAACTCTTGTCTTGCGGACCCTAGAGATGGTAAGAGCTAACCCCTCCTTTCACAGAGTCGAAACGAAGAAGTGTGTTGCTGTGCCGCTAGTTGCAGAAACAGGCCTGGGGCCCAGGTGTTCTTCCCGCCTCCCAGACTGGTTGTCGCCTCTCCTGTCATCTGCCGTAGGCCTGGTGCTGCTTGTAGGTGGTGAAATCTCTGGGCTGGTGGTGTCTAATCGGGTTGGGAAGAAGGTGAGAGAGGCCATGGAGCGCTCTGCTGGGAACTGGATTTGCTTAATAGCTTGGACCAGAAGTGCCCAGCAGAGCCACACTGGGACCTGCTTGTGCTCGCAGTTAAATCAGGCTCTAGGCCGGGTGCGGTGGCTCATGCCTGTAATCCCAGCACTTAGGGAGGCCATGGCAGGTGGATCACCTGAGGTCAGGAGTTCGAGACAAGCTTGGCCAGCATGGTGAAACCCCATCTCTACTAAAAGTACAAAAAATTAGCCGGGCGTGGTGGCGGGTGCCTGTAATCCCAGCACTTTGGGAGGCCATGGCAGGTGGATCACCTGAGGTCAGGAGTTCGAGACAAACTTGGCCAGCATGGTGAAACCCCATCTCTACTAAAAGTACAAAAAATTAGCCGGGCGTGGTGGCGGGTGCCTGTAATCCCAGCACTTGGGGAGGCCAAGGAGGGTGGATCACCTGAGGTCAGGAGTTCAAGACCAGCCTGGCCAACATGGTGAAACCCTGTCTCTACTAAAAGTACAAAAATCAGCCAGGCATGGTGGCAGGCGCCTGTAATCCCAGCTACTCGGGAGGCTGAGAATCACTTGAACCCTGGAGGCAGAGGCTGCAGTGAGCCGAGATCACGCCACTGCACTCTAGCCTGGGTGATGAGAGTGAAACTCCATCTCAACAACAACAACAAATCAGGCTCTAAACCCCAGCAGAGTTTCTCCAAACAACCACGACATTTTTGGGAAACTTTGCCCATGAAGTGGGGGCTTTGTGCAAAGAAGTTCCAGGGAGGCAAAACAGGTCTGGGCCTGCCATTCCCTGACTTGGGGCCAGCTGCCGCCCCGTCTTTGCCTCACTTTTCCTCCTCTGTAGACTCCCAGGAGAAACGTGAGGGCCAGTGAGCTGGGGAACGACAGTCATCACGTCTCTCGTCTGCTGATCGTGTGTCTGCGCACACTCATCTACCACAGGGTGTGGGAGGGCTGGTCTGTCTTTGGCTTGATAGTTTTTTGAACTTGGCAAGGGAACCAGAGCATGCCTGTCAGTTCACCTGCAGCCGAATCCTTGGGAACACCTGTTAAAATTCAGATTTCTGGGTCGTATCACGGAACCATTTGGTGAGTAACATTTTTGGGCATGGACACTGAGCCTGGCCTCTGGCTCCGCACTGGGATACAGCCATGGATAAGATGCGGTCTCCATCAGACACTTTCCACCCTTCATGACTAAAGAACTCTCCTAATATTGATTGATTGATTGACTGATTGAGACGGGATCTCACTATATTGGGCAAGCTGGTCTCAAACTCCTGGCCTCCAGTGATCCTTCCCCATCAGCCTCCCAAAGTGCTGGGATTATAGGCATGAGCCACTGCACCTGGGCACTCCCCTAGTTCTTCTTCTTTTTTTATTTTAGACAGAGTCTTGCTCTGTCACCCAGGCTGGAGTGTAATGGTGCGATCTCAGCTCACTGCAACCTCCGCCTCCCAGCTTCAAGCGATTCTCCTGCCTCAGCCTCCCGAGTGGCTGGGATTACAGGCGTGAGCCACTACACCTGGCTCATTTTTGTATTTGTAATAGAGACAGGGTTTTGCCATGTTGGCCAGGTTGGTCTTGAACTCCCGACCTCAGATGATCCACCCACCTTGGCCTCCCAAAGTGTTGGGATTACAGGTGAGCCACCATACCCAGCCACTCTCCTAGTTCTTAATGTCTGTCAGGAGGGTCCTTGTTCTTGGTTTGTTTGGCAGAGCCCCATACCTTCAGAGAGGAGTGGATTTTTTCCTTTTCCTGGCAAACCACGGGGTAGGAAGCCCTGAAGTCCCTAGATGCACCCATGCACACACACCCATACCTGTGCTTCTGCAGCAGGGCCACCAGGATGCTCTCCAATTCCATTTGCTTTTGTTCTGCCCACATGCTGTCTACCTGACGACCAAGCCGTGCCCTTGCTCCTCGCTCTTGGTTGCTCTCTCTGTGTGGTTAGAAAAAGAGAACTAGTTGCTATTTGGGTAGGATGTGGAAAGGCAGGGGTATATCCCTATGCCTATTTCAATATCTGGTGTGGACTCTTCTACCCAACTGAATTAGATTCAGCCACACTTAGGGAGGCAGTATATATAGTAATGAAGAGCACAGAAGTACAAGTGTACACAGTTGCAAAACGTCTCCCCACAGATTATTAATGATAGAGGGAAAAATAACTTTATAGAGGAGAAACCTAGCAGACACCATGTTAACCAACTGATCAAAGTTACCATCTACCAATAATCCACCAATAATGGCACAAATTGCCATCCTGTGCCTCCTGATACCAGGCACTGAGAAGGACACAACACTACTTCTGTGAATGCATCACCTGATTCCTCTAATCATCATTAGAGGAACGCATCCTCTAATCATGGGGATATGTCTGGCAAATTCAACATGAGGGACATTCTATAAATCATTAGCCTTTACTAATCAAAACTGTCAATGTCATGAAAGACTGAGGAACGATTCCAGATTAAAAGAAACTGAAGGGACATGACAACTAAATGGTATCCATGATCCTGGATTGGGTCCCAGATCAGAAAAAGAAATAATTGTTATAAAGGACATTTTGGGACAACTGGTAAAATTTGAATATGGATTATAATTGATAATTATATTATGATTATGTAAGGGGATGTCCTTTGGTTAGGTATTAGGAAACACATATAGAAGTACCTAAGGGTAAAGGGTCATGATGACTGCAATTTACTCTCCAATGGTTCAACAAAAATGATAAGAATACTTAATGTGCATATGTGTTTCTGTGTGTATGTATCTATATCTAGCTATAGATATAGAGTAAGCAAATGTGATAAAATGTTAGGAATTGGAAGTGTATATGGAAGTCCATTGTGCTTTTGTTGCAACTTTTTTGTAAGTTTGAGATTTTTTTCAAAGTAAAAACTAAAAAACGTATAGGCTATAGAGTCAGGCAGTTTGGCTCCAAACTCTGCCACTCTTTGTGTGTCCTTTAAAAGCTATTAACCCTGGGCCAGGGCGCAATGGCTCACACCTGTAATCCCAGCACTTTGGGAGGCCGAGGCGGGCAGATCACGAGGTCAGGAGATCGAGACCGTCCTGGCTAACATGGTGAAACCCCGTCTCTACTAAAATATACAAAAAATTAGCTGGGCATGGTGGCGGGCACCTGTAGTCTCAGCTACTCGGGAGGCTGGGGCAGGAGAATGGTGTGAACCCGGGAGGGGGAGCTTGCAGTGAGCCGAGATTGTGCCACTGCACTCCAGCCTGGGGGACAGAGAGAGACTCCATCTCAAAAAAAAAAAAAAAAAAAAAAAAAAGAGCTATTAACCCTGTACAATGGGGATAAGGGTTGTTATGAAGATTAAAGAAGAAACTAAAAGCTGGGCAAGGTGGCTCACAACTATAATCCCAATGCTTTGGGAGGCCAAGGTGGGAGGATCACTTGAGGCCAGGAGTTCGAGACCAGCCTGGGCAAAATAGTGAGACCCCATCTCTACAAAAAATAAAATAGTCAGTTGTGGTGGTGCACACTGGTAGTCCTAGCTACTTGGTAGGCTAAGATGGGAGGGTCGCTTGAGTCCAGGCATTTGAGGTTACAATGAGGCATGATCATTCCACTGTACTCCAGCCTGGGCAACAGAATGAGACCCTGTCTCTAAAAAAAAGAAAGCAAGAAACTAAGAATAATAGTAGCTGACACTACCAAGGGCATCTGTGTGCCCAGCACTGTGCCAAGTGTCTGTAAATGTCCTAGGGCAGAGCCTTTGTTTTTGGCATGGAGTCATGATTAAATGGTAACTACTACCAGTGTTGTTACTGTCGGAGCCTAGCCTGAAGAGACACGTGGTAGGCATGGAGGTAAGTTGAGGTTTAACGCTGGAACCCTTTTGCTATGGGAAGTCCAGAAATGACACTTGCTGTGCCAAGGAAGAGATCTGAATTGGTCCCTGGTCCCCTGTAGGGAACAAGCTCCTGCAGACTCTGCTGCAGGGTGTGGGAAGAAATCACTAGAACTCCTGCTTACCCCTGCTGCCTGCTCATGATGTCCTGGAGCAGCTTGCGGGCGGACAGCTGGCCCAGCACCTTCCGGTAGCTGTTGGTGAAGATGGCATCTGCATACCGCCGCATCCTGTGCGGAAGGAGTCAGGGGTCAGAGGGCGGGGTGGAGGCCAGGCGAGAGGACAGTCGTGGCTGCACTCGCCATGTCTCTGCAAGATCCTTCTGTTGCCATCTGTCCCACTCACCCCAAGAGAGACTCAGACCCCTCTGAGTGACCTCTGTGAAGCTGTGTCTGCCTCCTCTGCAAGGACGGGCAGTGGGTGCTGCCTGGAGACATAGCCAGGGCCCAGCTGATGGGCTGAGTCTGCATTCACTAACGCCTGCCCCATGGCAGGGATGGCTTGGGAGTGGTGGGAACTTTCCCCAGGGTCTGCTTACCTGAGGGTCAAAGGGGGAGGTGGGGAGCAGTGGGAGCTGTTGCTGAGGGTGAGGATCACAAAGAAGAACACCCAGAGTGGCATCCTTCACCCGGGGTGGCACCTGCAGAGTGACAGGAGGGGAAGGTCAGGTACAGCCACAGCCATTGGGATGGCCTTCACTGGCCCAGCCCTGGGCTTGGCTCCATGGCAAGCCTTGGTCCTTGGTTTTTGGAAGCTGTGGGATGGGAAAAAGAACCCAGACACTGGAAGTCAGACAGACCTGAGTTCATGTTCTGCCTCTGCCAGCCACCTGCTCTGACTTCATTTTCTCCATCTGTAGAATGGGCGTGATGGAGCTCCCCTGCCAACCACATAGGGTTGAACCAAAAACCAGTGATAGTAGGGAAATTTCCCCTTGCCATAAGGTATTAGAAGTAGGATTTGGGCTCAGGCACAGTGACTCACGCCTGTAATCCCAGCACTTTGGGAGGCTGAGGTGGGCGGATCACCTGAGGCCAGGAGTTTGAGACCAGCCTGGCCAACCTGGTGAAATCCCATCTCTACTAACATTACAAAAATAAGACAGGAGTGGTGGCGTGTGCCTGTAATCCCAGCTACTCAGGAGGTTGAGGCACGAGAATCCCTTGAACCCAGGAGGTGGAAGTTGCAGTGAGCCAAGATCGTCCCATGCACTCCACGCTGGGTGACAAAGTGAGACCCTGTCTCAAAAAAAAAAAAAAAAAATTTAAATAAATAGAATAAATGGGATCCCTTAGCAAGGAATGGGGAAGGTCAAAGAACCTTCTCTCAGTGCCCCTCATTCAACCCCATCCAGTGTGGCAGTGAAAGCAGGCAGCAAGGGTAACTGCTCAGCTCTGAGTCAGACAAACTGGAAGTTCAAATCCTGGCTCTGCTGTCATTAGCTGTGTGTCCCAGGACAAGTGGCTTCACCTCTCTGAGCCTTATTTTCCCCGGCCATAAAACCAAGATAGTAACTAGACCTCCTACTTCGGCTCCTGGAAGGATCTGGTGAGGTAAGTGCCTGAACCAATAGGGAATTCTCTAGAAACCTTTGCTGTGTCTACCTAAGACCAACCCTCTCAGAGGGCAGGCTCTTCCTGTTTTAATTTTGTTTGGAGTTGGAGAGAGGGGAGAAGGGCTCTAAGTCTTGCTCCAGATGCTTAGATTTTGCTGAAGAGTTTTAGTCCTGGAAGAGACTGAAGAGCCGGGGGATCCAGTGTGGCGCAGTCATCTCATAGGTCCTGTAACTACCCTTAATTGGGGCCTGCGGACAGCATGCTCTGCAATTAGGGGAAAAACAGCCAGCAGGGGACAGAGCCCGCCTCCGCTGGGGCAAGTGCCACTGCTGTCAGCCCAGACCTGCCCAAGCATGGAAACACGGCTGGCCTCGGGGGACTTGGCCACCTAGGAATTGGGTCCTCCCATCTCCCATGGGTTTCTCCCTCTCTCAGCAGGATGTCTACTCCATGGGGGTGTAGATCCATCCAGAAGCCCAGCCAGCCCCGGAGGTGGCCAGCACCCCCGCCTTTCCCACAATCTCCTCACATGGCTTCCTTCTCTCCCACTCCTGGGTCCTGCTGAGGAGTTCTGGCAGGCAGGGCCAGCACTGGCAGAACCCACCTTGCTCTCCCGGCCCTCTCAGGGTATCACCCTCCTTTCTGAAGGCACTGAAGTCTCCTCTAACCCAGGGATGCCTTGGGCCCCCAGGCAGCACTCAGGGGGTCTGCTTACTGCAGCCTGAGACCCTGTACCTGCAGAGCTGGAGGGAGCAGCAGCCCAGGCCTCAGTGGTCAGCCCCTCCCTCCATGACATGAGCATCCCCACAACACGCACACTGGCTGTCCTCCAC
Organism: Homo sapiens; assembly: GCF_000001405.40. NCBI lineage: Eukaryota > Metazoa > Chordata > Mammalia > Primates > Hominidae > Homo > Homo sapiens. The sequence continues at coordinate 168,160 of NW_025791812.1, forward strand.
TTCCTGCTCGAGTGAGCACTTGCTGCCAGCGAATGACAGGGATCTCACTACCCCCAGGCCCGGGAGCTTATTTCCAGATGGTTCTTTATTTATTTATTTTGAGAGCGGGTCTCACTCTGTGGCCCAGGCTGAGGTGCAGTGGTGCAATCATAGCTCACTACAGCCTCAAACTCCTGGGCTCAAGCAATCCTCCTGCCTCAGCCTCCTGAGTAGCTGGGACAGCAGGCATGTGCCATCATGCCCAGCTAATTTTGAAATTTTTTGTAAAGATAAAGTCTCACTATATTGCCGAGGCTGGTTTCAAACCCCCGGGCTTAAGTGATCCCCCCGCCTCAGCCTCCCAAAGAGTTGAGCTTATAGGCATGAGCCACAATGCCAGGCCCAGGCAGTTCTTATTGTTAGGAAGTTTGTCTCACCATGTCAAGCCCAAATCTCCTTCTCCTGCAAATGTTTGTTAAGCCTCTACTGTTCCGGTAAGGACTGGGGCTAGAGAAAAGATGAGAACACGGGATCTACCCCGAGGGCTGGCTGTGTAACATCCGCCTGCTGGGCTGGAGCCTCTGCACCTACAGCCACACGACTGGTCCTTTAGATATGTTCCGCATGTCTGACTTAAGCTTTTGTTCCTCAGACCAAGGCTCGGCAGGCTTCCGTCCTCCTCATCGCACCATACCACGTCTGGTCCCCCTTCTCCCCACCTGGTCCAGGCTGCCTCTCCAGAAGTGGAATTTCCTAAGCCGAGAGATCTCTGGATGCAAGCAGGGCCCCTTGACAGAAACCACTGCCTTTTCTGTCTCCCAGCTGCAGCCTGGCTTTCTTGCCTTCTTTGCTGCTGATCTTTTAAAGATTCAGGCAGATCTAGGTCCCCAATCACCTCCCTCCCCTGCTCAGAAGCCCTTGGCTCCCCACTCCTTCCAGAATAAAGCTCAAACCCCTTCTCTTGGCTTAAGCTCTCCCTCTGCCTGCCCCTTCTCCCAAGGGCTGGCACAAGTGATTCCCAGCCCCTGTGCCCTATCAGGCTCCACAACCCATCCTTGCACTCTCCCTCTGGAGCAGGCATCCCCATGCTCCTCTTACAGCCAAGGAAAAGAGCCTAGAGAGGACAAGGACATTTTCCATGATCCTCCATCAAATTAGTTTTGGAGTGGGCACTTCAGAGTGGGCCTCCTCATTCCCAGGCCGGCAGACTTCCTTCCGCTCCATGCAGCAGCCTCCCAGGTACAATGCTCTATTCACAGTATTCCCCATTCACAGGGATCCTCAGCCTCCATCACCTGCACGTGGGAAAGGGTCTGAAAAAAAGGAAAGCTTCTTGCTCTTTGTTGTTGGGCCTCTGGGGAAGAAAGAACAGGGACAAACAGGAACACCTGCTTGATTGGCCCCTCCCTATGCACACCCAGTAGTTTCAGGGAGTTGAAACAACCTCATAGGAGGGCAGACTTTGGTGGGGAGGGCAAGTCATAGTAAACACAATACCCCGCTCATTCAAGATAAGGCTCAGCAACTGCACAAGTTAACCAAGAGGCTCAACATTTGCCACAAATCCTGTGCCCCAGGCATAGGTCAAGACCCCACAGCAACCTCTGAGCTATGAGAACCGAATCCATGGGTTTGCAGATCCCACTGGATGAAAATGGGAAACAAGAATTATCCAGTGTAGGGTAAGATAAGAAGAATAGAGGTTATGTCACTAAGGATAAAATAGCTCCAGCCTGAGCAACATGGCGAGACCCCATCTCTACAAAAAAAAAAACACACAAAACAAAACAAAAAAAAACTTATCTAGGCATGGTGGCGCATGCCTGTAGTCCCAGCTACTCTGGAGGCTGATGTGGGAGGATTGCTTGAGCCCGGGAGGTTAAGGCTGCAGTGATCCATGATAGTGCCACTGCACAGTAGCCTAAATGTCAGAGCAAGACCCCATCTCAAAGAATAAAATAAAATAGCTGTCAACAGACACATTCCACATGACAACTTAAGGAGTCAAAATTCACTGAATGAAGTGTAGCCGAGCCCAACAGCATTGCTGGCAACCCTGATGACTGAAGGCACTCCAGAGTTTATAATCTATCATTATGATCATCGGTTAGCTTCCTGCAGTGCTTACTGATTCTGGGATTAGATGTACTTGAGATTGCCTGGATTCAGGATAAACGGGCACTTGATCTACATCCGTTGGCACCTTTTGCCAGCTTTCATGCCAGGAATGCCAGGAGAATTCTGCAGATTCACCTGCAGCTGACAGAGGTCAGGTCTCAAGCACCCAAATTCGCAAGGCCATTTTTGAAAACCCAGGGAAAGAACATCTTTAACCTTCCTTGAATATCCCCCTTTGAAATTTGAGCACCCCAAAGCATAGACTTCCTGATCTGGTTTATAAACTGTTTCAGTGACAGCATTCCAAGTTAAAAGAAATCTAAGTTTTTAATGAGGAAGCATCTTGAACTGTCATTCAAAAGAGTGACACTCCACCTCCTTCCAGAAGGGGTTTGAGGCAGTCTATGGTGAAAGACACAAATACTTCAGGACCATTAAAGCAAGGATCAGGAGACAGGCGTGGGGTAGCGGAGGACTCCAAAGGCAGATAATTGTGTCTAAAACCTGGAGTAAAGAGTGTGGCTGCAATTGAGCAAGAAAGCAAAATGTTATCAATTTCCCGGCAATTACATTGAATCAGTTCTGAGTGATCAATGAGCAGTATTGATTTGCACAGCCACTTGGCTCATCTCTGATCCATGGCAGAATCCCATCGCTGACAGGAAAATCGAGCCAACTCACGTTTGCCCCCGAAGCCTGCCCACGCATCCTCGAAGGAGCACTGAGACCTCACCACCTGCGACAGACACCTGGAGCCAGTCCGCCACGCGCCCAAGTTAAGACAAGCCCCAAACAGCACCATCAAAAGCCTATTCCAGAGCCCCTATTGAGGGGTGATTTTATCCAGAGAGGGGCTCAAATGTACTCACCAGTCCATGGGCAAAGAGGATGGCGGTGGGCCTCTTGGACTCAGTGTTTCTAAGTTGGTGAGAAGGTTAACTTTTCTTACCCCCACCCAGCCTAGCCCCCCCAGGGCCACCCCTCTCACCTGATGCGGCAGATATCCCTCTGCTCCGAGGCACTGCTCAAATCCAGGGGCCCTGGGCTGGGTGTTTGCTCTGGCAGCCGCCTGGCGTTCCCATCATTTATCTCTTCATTTTCCTAAGCGTTGTCAGCGTCAGAGAATCAATTACCCACAAGTCAACCAAAGGACTGTTTTTAGCATCATATCACACTGACAAACCCTGTTGGTGAAAGAGGTTTGGCCCCTTGCAGACTTAGACTCCTGGTAAAGTCTCCTTTTATCTTTGGCACAGTGGACATAGTACAAAGGTGTAACATTATTCCAAGAGGATATAGAGAATATATACTGCTATAATAGTGATTGGAGAACTCGGCTGGGCGCGGTGGCTCACACCTGCCATCCTAGCACTTTGGGAGGCTGAGGCGGGTGGATTGCCTGAGCTCAGAAGTTTGAGACCAACCTGGGCAACATAATGAGACCCTGTCTCTAGAAAAAAATTAAAAATTAGCTGGGCATGTTGGCACATGGGTATAGTCCCAGCTACTCAGGTGGCTGAGGCAAGAGTGTCACCTGAGCCTGGGAGGCGGAGGTTGCAGTGAGCCAAGACCACGCTATGGCACTCCAGCCTGGGTGACAGAGCACGACTCTATCTCAAAATATATATTTTTTAAAAAAAGAAAAAATATGTGTTAAAAATAATTGGAGAACTCATAACAGTGAAACACCAAGAGTTTATTGATTCTCCAAGATAAATGTGCCTTTTCAAAAGTTCATATAATTTAGCTTTGTCCCTGTGTAATTTTATTTCACTTTTGGGTAGACAACATTATGAATAAGCGTTATTCTCTCCTTAGTGGGGAATTTGTTCCCTATCTCCCTTGTCGTCCAATTATCAGAATTCTGCACTATTTGATTTACACCTGCTTGGTCACAGGCTGATTTCAACAGCTAGCCTGGGGGCATCCGTCGTCACCTGTCAAGGCAGCCAGACATTGGCAGTTGCCTCAGAGAAGTGTGAAATGAGAGGGAAGAGATGGAAAACCTTGGGAGAGTTGTTGTGTTTCCAGATTTCTCTAGCCTATAGCTAAGAAATCCTCAGGAATGACATAAAAGCACAGGAGGCAGAAGCTCTGGTTTCCCAGGCGGCCGTCGTGGAGGTGTGGAAAGAGCTCCAAGCCTCGAGTCTAGGGACCTGCTGCCTCTCCCAAGCCTGTCAATCATGACCTCTGTGACCCTTAGGAAGTTACTTCTACCTGGCTGGGTGCAGTGGCTCACACCTGTAATCCCAGCACTTTGGGAGGCTGAGGCGGGTGGATCATGAGGTCAGGGGTTCGAGACCAGCCTGACCAACATGGTGAAACCCCGTCTCTACTAAAAATACAAAAATTAGCTGGGTGTGGTAGTGGGCACCTGTAATCCCAGCTACTCAGGAGGCTGAGGCAGGAGAATTGCTTGAACCCGGGAGGTGGAGGTTGCAGTGAGCCGAGATCGTGCCACTGCACTCCAGCCTGGGCGACAGAGCGAGACTCTGTCTCAAAAAAAGAAAAAAAACTTCTACCCTCCGGGCCTCAGTTTCTACCTGGAAACTTGAGAGTTGACATAGAACAGCAACTTTCAAACTATTTTTTTGAGAGGGATCCTATCTTTGCCACCCAGGTTGGAGTGCAGTGGCATAATCTCGACTCATTGCAACCTCCACCTCCCGGGTTCAAATGATTCTCCTGCCTTAGCCTCCAGAGTAGCTGGGATTACAGGTGCGTACCACCACGCCTGGCTAAGTTTTGTATTTTAGTAGAGATGGGATTTCACCATGTTGGCCAGGTTGGTCTCAAACTTCTGACCTCAGGTGATCCACGTGCTTCTGCCTCCCAAAGCACTGGGATGACAGGTGTGAGCCACCACACCCAGCCCAAACATTTTTTAAAAAGTAGCAAAACTCTTTCTTTGGAAACCTACAGAGACAGGTTTTTAATATGGGGCTACTCTGGTTGAAGAGGGGGAAGTGGAGACCCCCTTGCCTATCCCTGAGGTACCTCGATGGGTCACAATTACAAGCCAGTAATTTCCAAGAGTCCCCTTAGCAACACTATTTTGTGGTTCTCCTTCTTAGCCTGCACTGAGCCATGTTCTTGGCATCTAGCAAATATGAGATGTTTCTCATAGAAGCAAGGCTTGAGTGGTATGTCACCTTGCTGGCCAGGATACGAAGTGGTCAGGTCAGGCCAGATCCCCAAGGATTAAGAATGGGCTGATAGTGGCCAGGTGCGGTGGCTCATGCCTGTAACCCCAGCACTTTGGGAGGCCGAGGCAGGCGGACTGCCTGAGCTCAGGAGTTCGTGACCACTCTGGGCAACATGGTGAAACCCCGTCTCTACTAAAATACAAAAAAATTAGCTGGGTGTAGTGGCATGTGCCTGTAATCCCAGCTACTGGGGAGGCTGAGGCACAAGAATAGCTTAAGCCCCAGAGGCAGAGGTTGGTGTGAGCCGAGATGGCGCCGCTGCACTTCAGCTTGAACAACAGAGTGAGACTCTGTCTCAAAAAAAAAAATAAATAAAAACAGGGCGTGGTGGTTCACGTCTGTAATCCCAGCACCTTGGGAGGCTGAGGCGGGCGGCTCACGAGGTCAGGAGATCGAGATCATTCTGGCTAACATGGTGAAATCCCGTCTCTATTAAAAATACAAAAAATTAGCCGGGCGTGGTGGTGGGTGCCTGTGGTCCCAGCTACTCGGGAGGCTGAGGCAGAAGAATGGCTCAGGACCCAGGAGGCGGAGCTTGCAGTGAACCAAGATGGTGCCACTGCACTCCAGCCTGGGTGACAGAGTGAGACTCCGTCTCAAAAAAATAAATAAAATAAATAAATAAATAAAAATAAAAATAAAAATAAATGGGTTGATAGCTTTAAATTAATTATTATTATTATTATTTTATTTACTTAATTTTTTGGAGACAGGGTCTCGCTCAGGCTAGAGTGTAGTGGTGAGATCTCAGCTCACTGCAGCCTTGACCTCCTAGGCTCAAGCAGTCCCCAACCTCAGCCTCCTGAGTAGCTGGGACTGCAGTTGCACGCCACCATGCCCAGCTAATTTTGTTTATTTTTAGTAGAGATGAGATCTCACTATGTTGTCCTGGCCAGAACTCAAATATTATTTAAAAAAAAAAAGTGCAGGTCACAGCAGCAGGGAGCAGACGAAGCAGTTGGGAGCCCCAGGGCTATGGGCTCTCGCACAGTCAGGAAGTGTGGGGTAACTCCTGGAAATGCAAAGTGGGGACCATGCAGAGCTGGGCACCCAGAGTGGACGCTGGTCCAGGGCACAGATGCAGGTTACATGGAGTTGGCCGGAGAAGCCATGGGGCTCAGAATCCAGCCTCGGTTGAAACTCTGTGCCAGGCATTGTGCTACAGACTTCACGCCCTATCTCAGTTTTCTTATTTGTAAAATGGGAGTGATAGAGCTCAACTTATGAGGCTCTTGGGTGAGAATTATTGTGACATTGCATAAAGGGCAGACCTGGCATAGGGCAGAGCTCACAATTTAGCTTTGATAATTGCTGTTCTTGTCATTGCGGTAAATGAGGAAACAGGCATGAAAGGTTACGTGCTCAGCCACAGCCACAGAGCTAGTCAGTAGCTGGAAGAGCTATGACTCAAACATGTTTTCTGACTTCCTTACAGCCCCAGCTACTCAGGAGGCTGAGGCAGGAGGATCACTTGAGCCCAGGAGTTAGAGGCTGCAGTGAGCTATGTTCGTGCTTCCGTACTCCAGCCTGGGCAATGGAGTGACACCTTGTCTCTATTGAAAAAAAAAGGAAAAAAAAGTTTTCTGATTTCCAATTTGTTTGCCCCACACTAAGGCCCTTCCTGGGCCTACCAGTTCTAATTTTTTTTTTTTTTTTTTTAAAAAGAACTTCAACAGTTTGGCCGGGCGTGGTGGCTTACACCTGTAATCTCAGCACTTTGGGAGGCCGAGGCAGGCGGATTGCCTGAGGTCAGGAGTTCGAGACCAATCTGGCCAACATGGTGAGACCCTGTCTCTACTAAAAATACAAAAAAATTAGGCGGGCGTGGTGGCATGCGCCTGTAATCCCAGCTACTCGGGAGGCTGAGGCAGGGGAATTGCTTGAACCAGGGAGGTGGAGGTTGCAGGGAGCCAAGATCGCGCCACTGTGCTCCATCTTGGGCGACAGAGGGAGACTCCATCTAAAAAACAAATAAACAAACAAAAAAGAGTTAACATATCATAAAGCTCACTGGTTTTAAGTCTATGGCTCCATGAGCTTTCATACATTTATACGGTGGTGCCACCATTGCCACAATCCTGTTTTGGAATGCTTCTGTCCCTCCAAAAATTCCCTCTAGCCCATTTGCTCTCAGTCTCCACTCTTGCCCCCTGCCCTAGGCAACCCCTAATCTGCTGTCTTACAGTTTTTCCTTTGCTAGGAAATTCCTATAAATGGAATCTTTTATATGATGAGTAAATCATAATAAATCAAATAAAATACGCACTTTTTGGTGTCAGGCTTCTTTCACTCAGCATAATGTTTGACCTTCATCCATGTTGATCCAGGTATTAATAGTTTGTTCCTTTTTATTCCATTGTATGGATGTATGACTGTTTGTTTACCCATTCACCTTGATGGACATTTGGGTTGATTCCAGTTTGGGGCTAGTATGAATTATGCTGCTACGAACTTTTTTTTTTTTTGAGACAGGGTCTTGCTGTCACATAGGCTGGAGTGCAGTGGCACAATCTCAGCTCGCTGCAGCTTTGACTTCCTGTGCTCAAGTGATCCTCCCACCTCAGCCTCCTGAGTAGCTGGGACCACAGGCGTGATCCGCTGCGCCCAGCTAATTAAAAAAAATTTTTTTGTAGCAATGGGGTCTCTCTATATTGCCCAGGGTCTCTCTCTATCAAACTCTTGGGTTCAAGTGATCCTCCCACCTCGGCCTCCCAAAGTGTTGAGATTACAGGTGTGAGTCACCCTGCCTGAACTGCTATGAATATTTCAGTAGGAGACCTTGTGTGAACATGTTTTCATTAATCTTGGGTGGGTACCTAGGAGGGGAATCACTGGGTCATATAATGAGGGTTTAGCTTTTTAAGAAACTGCCAGTCTTTTCCACAATGGCTGTACCATTGACTTTCCCCCCAGCAGCGATGGGGGTCTGCCCCCGAATTTCTTAAATGAGCATTTATTTCCTCATCCCACAAACCCCTCTTAAGCAACTAATTAGGCCCACGTAGAGCTTGCTGGATTAGCTGTCCATCTCCGAGGGGCTTAGTCCCTTTTCTGCAGTTAGGGGAGTGGGGTGGCTCTCTCCCCTCTGCATAGCATCTTCTGGGTGCTATGAGGAACGCAGAGTGTTTGGACACAGTGCTTGTCTTCAAAGAGCTACAGGAGGAAGCTGAGTCATTACCCTGGGCAGGTAGATCCAGAGAGGGACACAGTATCAGTATAAATGCAGAGAGGGACACAGTATCAGTATAAATGTTCCAAGAATCGAGAGAAGGGAGAAGTCATGTAAACCCAGGAGTTCATCGTCAGACAGGAGTAGGGAGAAGCTTAAAATGGGAGCAAATGGATTTGGATTTGAAACCAACTCTGCCATTTGCCCCATGTGAGATTCTAGGCAAGGTCAATCCCTTAATCTCTCTGAGCCTCAGTTACTACATCTGTACAATGGAGGTGATAAGAACTACCACTCCAGGTTGTTGTGAGAACCAGAAATATGCTTGGCCGGATGCGGTGGCTCACACCTGTAATCCCAACACTTGGAGGCAGAGGCAGGCAGGTTGCTTGAGCCCAGGAGTTCGAGACCAGCTTGGGCAACACAGTGAGACCCCCGTCTCCACAAAAAGAAAGAAAGAAAAAGAAATATGCATGTTGGTGTCTGATATGTAAGTGTCTTGGCAAATGGTAGCAGTTATTGTAGTTTTTCAGAGCTGAGCTCTGAAAAAACGGGCTGCTTGGTGGCAGCCTGGTGGCGGGGAGGGCTGGGAGCCATCTTGGTGACAGGCTTTATTTGCAGTAAATTCTCAAACCCACTGAGAAAGAGCATAGTGGGGCGGGGGGTGGGGGAGGATGGGGAGCCAGAAAGAACCCGGAGAATGAAAACCCAGCCCCTTCCACCGATTCCCACCGCCGCCTTGTCCTTGTCCTCTGAGTGATGATGAGAACGCCTCGGTGGCCGCCCAGCTCACTTTCCCAGGACGTGTTTTAACCCAGCGTTAATTAGTGATTGTGGCTGCATCTAGGGCTGGGGGCTTGAGCTGAAGAAAGAAAGTACCCCAGAGAAAGGCAGACTTTAAAAGGCCCCAAAAGGCTGGGGCAGTGAGGCTCTGTGGAGAGGGAGACAAGCCGTGCATTTGTGTTGCAAATTTCCAGTGTGTGCAAGCCAGCCATTCAATGAGGGCGATGCTACTGGCAGCCGGCATGGGGGTGGGGAGGGAAAGGAAGTCCACAAAGGGGGCCTGTCTGAGGACCTCAGACCCTGCTTTGTAAAAGCTGCTTTCATCCCCCTCCCTGGTTGATGGCAGTGTTCCCAGTCCAAGGCCACTGTGCAAGGATCCAGAGGCCTGGACCCCAGACTCCCAGATTCTCTTGACCCTCCCCACTTGCCCTTCTAGGCCTGTTTTTGTGGC